>NC_000012.12:41248006-41399521 GCF_000001405.40 Homo sapiens
GAAACGGGAAATGACTTGCACAGAGCAGGCTGCAATGAACTGAAATGATGCTAGTTGTTGCAGGTTCACTTCACCACTTTGTTCTGATATTTAAACCGATGTTGCCCAGAGGGTTAGCAACTATATTTAGAAAATTATTATTTGCCTATTTGTTTTGATTCAGCAAATAATAGTGTGTGAAAATTATGGATATGCCTCAGCTGGCATGTTGCTGAGTACTTTTAGAGTCATACAGAACAATACCCAAAGTGTTAGATGAAGCTTACAAACCTAAATCTTATGGGTTATCAAGGCTTTCTATAATGGAATCCAAAATTTTTTGGCTAAGAAACATTTCATCACCATGCACACATGCACCATAGGTTTTACGAATTACACATGATATGCTGAAAACAGAGACTTACTGCAAATGACAAGAAAAATAACATTTTAATTGCTTGAAAGGAAAATGTTTACTTAGAATTCAATGACTAAATCCAGTAAGTTAGTGTGTAATGGACAGCAGTAATAGCCAAGATTTTACCCTCCTACTCAGGAAAGCCAGTGTGAAATTGTGAGTTTCGAATGGCGGTAATTAATCATTATGGTAGACTGTCAGAAAAAGAACTCAGGTCATTTATGTTAATGATTGCAGTGTGCAGTTTTTGACATATATTGTGAGCTCTAACATATTTCATATATAGCAATTAACCAAAAATGCAAACATCTGGAAAGCATTCTACCAGCAGTCTTAGAAGTGAAATAAATTTTAAAATAAATATTAAAAGATATCTTATTATAAATAATTGCATTGTAATGTAGCATTTTAAAAATAAACTAAAATACAGATTATTTGCTTGGCGTAATGTAATTATCCCCAGAGTAATTTATATAATGTCATTAGTAATTACAACCTGATTACAAAGTAATATTTGTTTGGTAATAACCAGAAAGCATTTAGATTTCATGGTTATTATATGAACCATATATGCATAGTACTTAGATAGTTTTAGTGGACATTTATGATTTCCCAGTATTTATCTTAAATTACTCTGAAGTAAAAGCTTCTTGGTTATTACTAAACAAAAATGACCATGTTATACATGCATATTCACATGTGCACATGTGTGTATACACACACATATACACACACAGAGATAGAGAATCAGTTTCAAAAAGATAATTATAAGACTCAATGTCTAAACATGCAGGTAGGTATGAAAAAAGTAATGGGTTTGCCATTAGTTTTAATGGCAAAAATCGCAAGTACTTCTGCACTGACCCAATACCACAAAAAGTACATTGTTAGTATGAACTATTTTGCATGAAGATGTATCTTGTCACTAATTAAGACAAATTCCTGTATTGAAGGTGACTTGTACAGATTGTATACAGCATGTCAAAAGAAGTTATTTTGGAGAAAATAAATTAGTATATGGGAACTTGCACACCATTTGGATGCCAGACAATATGGGAATGTACTGCTGTAAAGCCTGTGGTCTAGATTTGTTGCTGAATTGTGAGGATTTGGGGAAGAAGGTACCTGAATGAATGGCTTTGAGGCTGGACAGAAGTTAGTAGTAGGGTGACAGGAACATAATTGTGATGCCCGGAATACACCATTCCCTTGCTATTGCAGTTTATTTTCAACCTCAATTATTTAAGAAGCATAACGATGGATTTATCATCATCCAAGAGTGCTTTGCTGATGACTTACTGGGGCCTGAAGTATTATGCAGCCTTCCTTTGATTTGAAGACTTTACACTTTGACATTTTCTGTTGACTTACTCTGCACTAAATTTCAACTGTAGAAGCTAGTAGGAAGGTAAAGAAGCAGAGTGCATTCGCATTCATAGGTATAGAGTTTGGATTTGGCAACTGAAGCCTTTCCTTCATTTATAGTGAGGGGTTATGTGTGTATGTTTAAATTTCCCCATGAAGTTTTATGGGAAATCAATCTAATTTACGCACACTTTTCTCCAGGAAGCATAGTCGTGAGATAGAAATCTCAATTAAGGGGACAATTCTTTTAGACTGATCCTTTGTAGATTTGTCTAGATGGTACAGACAACTATGGAGAAAATGGGTATGGTAACTTGCATACTTGTTTGCTCTTGACTTAGGTGTTCAGACATATCATTGTAAATGCATTACAAAAGTGTCTTCTGACCACTCCAGACTCTCAAAGTATTATTTTTTTGTAACTAGTCTGTACTTCTGGTTCATTCCATGATTTAGCAAAAGCGAACAACTAATTTTCAGAAAAAGTTCTGTGTTACAAGAAAAACAGTTGTTATGAGTACAGTCTTGTTGATTTGCTCACCTCCAAAAACATTTTCAAGAAAGGTAAGAGTACTAACAAGAAATGCCTTGATTATTCCACCACCATCTTGCTTTCTTTTAATATGAGGGAACTTCAAATAGTTTGTAGAAAAATGAAATTAAAAGACAAAAATGAAAAATATAAACTATATTTCTCAAAATAACCTCCATCAAGTTCAAGATACTTTTGTAAGCAATGATGCCAGCCTTTTAGTCCATCCCTAAATAACTAAAAGTTCTGGGAATTTAACCATGCCAATGCTATCTTTTTTACATTATTAACTGGAGAAAAATGGGTGTGCTTGACAGGTTTGTCAAGCTTGGCAAATGAAAAGAAGTTTGGAGGAGCCAAATTAGAACTGGAAGGTAGATGCCTAATGATTTCCTGTTGAAACTTTCACAAAGTTGCACTTACGTGTTGAGAGGAATGAGCAGGAGCATTGACACGGTGGAGAAAGACTAGTAAATCTTTCCTGGGTGTTTTTCTGCTAAAGTTGTGGCTTTCTCAAAATATCTTCATAATAAGCAGATGTTATTGTTTGTCAACCCTCCAGAAATTCAACAGGCAAAGTGCCTTGAGTATCACAAAGAACTGCTGCTTGAGTATCACAAAGAACTGCTTTCACTCTTGACTGGTCCACTTTTACTTTGACTGGACCACAGCCAACTTTTGGTAGTCATTGCTTTGATTGTACTTTGTTTTCAGGATTGTACTGGTAAAGACATGTTTTACCTCCTGTTAGAATTCTTTGAAAAACTGCTTCAAGATCTCGATCCCATTTGTTTAAAATTTCCATTAAAAGCTCTGTTTTTTTCTGCAGCTGATCTGGGTACAATAGTTTTGGTACCCATCAAGTGGAAAGTTTGCTCAACTTCAATTTTTCAGTCAGATGATGTAAGCTGAACCAATTGAGATGTTTGTGGTGTTGGCTATTGTTTCAGCTTTTAATCATCAGTCCTCTTCAATTAGGGCATGAAAAAGATGAATTATTTTCCTCAAAAATTGATATGGTAATCTGCTGCCATGGGCTTCATCTTCAACATATTCTCATCTCTTCTTAAAATTTGTAAACTGCTTGTTTCTTTGGGGGCATTTTCCCTATAAACTTTTTGTAAAGTATCAATGATTTCACCATTCTTCCTCCCAAGCTTCATTATAAATTTGGTATTTGTTCTTACTTCAATTTTAGCAGAGTTAATATTGCTCTGATAGGGTCTCTTTTCAAACTGTCTTATCCTTAGTTCTTCAAACTAGACTCTGTTCAGACATGTTATAAAAAGTTAGTTTATTTTGATGCAAATAAATTTGAAATTCATGCATAATTTTTAAAATAATACACCTTTTCCATGAACTGTTTGAAGACCCTTTGTATATGATCTATGATAAATCATCCAACATCTCATTCCCCTCTTACCTGAGTCATTCACACTAGCCTTGTGTGGTCAGATTACAATATAGTCAACAAGTCATTAAACAAAAATTTACACAACAAACCAATTTATAAAAACGTTATATTTAAAATAAGGCGAGGCATGGTGGCTCACGCCTGTAATCCCAACACTTTAGGAGGCTGACGCAGGCAGACAGCTAGAGCCAGGGGGTTCAAGACCAGCCTAAGCAACACACTGAAACCCTGTCTCTACAAAAAATACAAAAATTAGGTGGGCATGGTAGTATGTGCCTGTAGTCCCAGCTACTCAGGATATTGAGGTGGGAGGATTGATTGAGCCCAGGAGATAGAGGATGCAGTAAGCCATCATCAAGCCACTGCACTCCAGATCGGGTGAAAAAGCAAGACCCTGTTTTAAATAAATAAATAAATAAATAATAAAATGAAGTAAAATAAGCATTGCAATACAATGGAAACCTTTGGCAATGTCTTATAAATACTTTATGGTATGATCAGTAATTCTACTCCTAGGTATTTAATACAGAGAAATAAAAACACAAACATAGGAGGGTGCTCTTTTGATAATAGCAAATATCTTGAAGTAACCCAAATGCCACAAACAGGTAAATGTTCATACAATGAAGTACTACTCAACAACAAAATGGAATGACCACTGATAGAGGCAAATTCTAAATGTTATCCTGAGTGATAGCAGGCAGACACAAAAGTTTCATTCACAAGAAACACTTAAATTTTAGGCAAAACAGGCCAGGCGCAGTGGCTCATGCCTGTAATCCCAGCCCTTTGGGAGGCCGAAGCAGGGGGATCACAGGAGTTTGAGACCAGTCTGGCCAACATGTTGAAACCCCATCTCTACTAAAACTACAAAAATTAGCTTGATATGATGGCACACACCTGTAATCCCAGCTACTAGGGAGGCTGAGGGAGGAGAATTGCTTGAACCCGGGAGGTGGAGGTTGCAGTGAGTTGAGATTGGGCCACTGCACTCCAGCCTGGGTGACACAGCAAGACTCTGAATAAAAAGAAAAAAGGCAAAACAGTCTTAACAGAAAGCAGATCAGTGATTGCCTGAGACTAGGGAGTAAGTAGGAAGAATTTACAATAAATGAACATTAGGAAATATTTTGAGGTGCTGAAAATGTTTTAGATCTTGAATTGTAGTGGTGGTTAGTTGGGTGTACATTTTCAAAATATATACTTAAAATGGGTATATTTTATTGTATGTAAATTATATCTCAACAAAGTTGATTTTGAAAGAAAAATATGAATATTGAGTGTGTAAGAACAAATGAATATGTAGTGAGATGAACATGTGGGAAAGAGCAACACTTGGAATTGTGTGGCATTAATGTCGGTATTGAATTGAGATAAAACTGTAGAAATCCCATTCTATTGATTATCATTTTACTTTGTTGATTGTTTCCCTTGCTGTGCAGGAGCTTTTTAACTTGATGTCATCCCAGTTGTCTATTTTTGCTTTGGTTGCCTGTGCTTTTGAAGTCTTACACAAAAAAATCTTTGCCTAGCTTAATATCCTGAAATGTTTCTCCCAATGTTTTCTTCTAGTAGTTTCATAGTTTCAGGATTAGAATTAATCTTTAACCCATTTTGATTTGATTTTTATGAATGGTAAGAGACAGGGTTCTAGTTTCATTCTTCTGCATACAGTTATCCAGTTTTATCAGTGCCATCTCTTGAAAAGACTCAAAACCAAATACAGAATCATCTCACTCCAGTTAAAATGGCTTCTATCAAAAAAACAGACAATAACAGAGCCTGGTGAGGATGTGGAGAAAGGGGAACCCCCATTACTGTTACTGGGAATGTAAATTAGTAAAGCCAATATGAAGAACAGGATGGAGGTTCCTCAAAAAACTAAAACTAAAACTTCCATATGATCCAGCAATTTCACTACTGGGCATATGGCCAAAAAGATGAAATTCAATATATCAAAGATATACCTGCACTCCCATATTTATCACAGCACTATTCACAATAGCTAAAATATGGAACTGTGTGTCCATCAAAAGATAAATGGATAAAGAAAATGTGATACATATACACAATGAGATATTATTCAGCCACAAAAAGAATGAAATTGTGTCATGTGCAGCAACATAGATGAAACTGGAGTCCATTTGCTAAGTGAAATAAGCCAAGCAGAGAAAGACAACTATTGCATATTCTCACTCATATGGAGAAGTTAATAAAAGTGGACCTCATGAAGATAGAGAATAGATTCCTGGCCACTAGAGGCCAGGAAGGGAAGAGGGAGAGGAGAGATAAAAGGAAATATATATATATATGTGTGTGCGTGTGTGTGTGTGTGTGTGTGTTTGCGTGTGTGTGTTTATTACCTTTGAACTACACACTTAAAAATAGTAAAGGTGGTAAATTAAATATGTGTATTTTACCTCAGTAAATATATATATAAAGTAAAACTATTTCAAAGGAAAAAGGAAAAAAAAGTATACATCAGCATTTTCTTTTATACTGTCAGAGAGATCAGAAGCAGCCACAGTTTGTTATTTAGCATAGTGAAGATATTACACTAAACACTTTATATGCATGATATTATTTAATCTTCCCCAAATACCCAATAGGTAGGCTTTAAAAAACAAAGCTTCAGGAGACGAAGTAAGATACTCAAAGTCACATGGCTAATAGGTGGCAGGGCTAGGATTTGAATGAGACTGACTCAAAACTATAATGCTTAACAGTTACACCCAAATGAAATCTTTCTGAATAATAGTTTCTTATATAATTATGCGAATGTTGATATTTAGTGTTGTTTGAATAAGATATATGTAAAAGCCTGTTGCAAATTAGAAAGTAGACCACTATACCCATGCTCATTTATGTAATAAATATTTTACCATTTCCTATGTGCCAGAAATTATGCTGAGTATGGGAGACAAGACAGATCCTCTGCAGTCCCAAGTCTGAAGATGCAGGCAGTAAAACAAAGAAATTAAAATGCTGTGCAATGAGTGAGTCACAGTGCTGTAAGACCACATTGCCTAGGCAGCCATGCCCTTGGAAGTGGTGATGTCTAAGTGAGAACTGATAGATTAGTAAGAGGTTGCTCTGGCCAGGCACAGTAGCTCATGCCTGTAATTCCAACATTTTGGGAAGCAGGAGGATCACTTAAGGCCAAGAGTTCTAGACTAGCCTAGGCAACACAGGGAGACCCAGTATCTACAAAAAATAAAAAATAAAAAAAATTAGCCAGGCATGCTGGTGCAGCTACCTGGGAGGCTGAAGTGGGAGGATTGCTTGAGCCAAGGACATTGAGGCTGAGCTGTAGTCACACAACTGCCCTCCAGCATAAAGAAAAGAAAAGAAAGAGAAAAAGAAAAGAAAACGAAAGAGTTGGCTCCCTGGGTGTGGAAAGGGGACTAATTGATGCAGGAGTGATTTATGGGGAAATCTAGGGGACAGAGTTTAGTGAGACAGGTGTAGTGGGGCCAGAGTATAGAGTGCACAGTGGGGAAGTGGTGAGGGAGAAGGCGCAAGTGATCAACAGGGCAGCCAGATCATGCAGGTCCTTTAGGTAAGACAGGTATGTTTGTCACACAAACCAGAATATGTAAAGATTAATATAGAGTTCGATAATTAAGCCAAGACAACAGATCTAAACTGGGGCTGTTCATGGCCTGCTGGTGAATCCATAAACCTTAACAGAAAGTTTTGTTTTTTTTGTTTTTTTTGTTTTGTTTTGTTTTGTTTTTGGTAAGGGTAGTAGGAATAATTGGAGAGTTTTAAGTAGGGAAGTAAAATTATTAGATTACATTCTACCTTCTGTCATGTCTACCAACATGCCTTGAGGAGGATGTTGAGGGAACCTGTTTTTATTACATTTTAACTTCCTGAAGTGTATGTACAAAGGCTTTTACATTAGTCAGTTTTTGTGTTGCTATAAAGAAATACCTCAGGCTGGTTAATTTAGAAAGAAAAGAGGTTTAATTGGCTCATGGTTTTGCGAGCTGTACAGGAAGCATGGCACCAGTATCTGCTTCTGGTGAGGCCTCAGGAAGCTTTTACTCATGTCAGAAGGTGACGGGGGAGTCAGCCCATCACATGGTGAGAGAGGGAGCAAAGAGAGAGAGCAAGGGGCAGAGCCAAGCTCCTTTGAACAACCAGCTCTCCTGTGAATTAACAGAGCAAGAACTCACTTATTGCCATGGGGTGGGTACCAAACCATTGGTGAGAAATTCACTCCCATGACCCAAACACCTCCCACCAAGCCCAATTTCCAGCACTGGGGATCAAATTTCAACATAAGATTTGGAGGGGACACACATTAAATCATATCGGCTCTTGAGGATTCACATTCTCTGTGGAAATTATGGTCACTGAAAGACTATTAAGAAAATAAATTTTTTAATGCATTGACAGGCAAATGTGTAAGGATAATTTTCAAAATAAAACTATGTATTTCCTAGTCATATAAAAGTGATTTTATTGGTATTCTAAGTAAAAGGGTCTGTAAAAGGAAAAGGAAAACAAATTTCTGAACAGGATATTTTAAAATGAATAAAAATTTCTTGAATACTTTCTAAGGTCCAACTATCTCAGAGTCAAATTTTGATGATGTTGTATAATGTAAAAGAAAATATTTAAGATTGTTTGCTCATTGAAAAAAAATTAAGAAGTGTGGCAAAAAGGGAACACTTAAATACCTTTATCCTCTGAGATTATGTCTCCATTCAATTGAATATTCAATAAATAAGTATGGAATAGCTAAAATGTGTTATAGAAACCTGGAGCAACATATTGATCCCCCTATACACAAGCCAACATTTACCTTCTCTTTTCTATCCTCTTGACGTAAGGCAAAGAAAAGTTGAACTTTTAGGGCTTCCAGAACTGTGAGGAATAAATTTATGTTGTTTACAAGATACTCACTTTATATAGTATCTTGCCATAGCTGACTGAACTAAGACACACATTCATTTGGCTGGATCATGACTGTCTCCAGACTTTCATATCTAAGTGTCTACCTGGCTACCTTCTTGTGTGTCTCAAGCCCTTTCTAACTCAAAAGGTCCATCTCATTCTTCTGTTTTTCTACCAAATCTGTCATCTGCCTATCTCAGGGAATGGTATGTCCATTCATCCAATTGAATAAGTCATAAACCATCTCTAATTAGTCAACTGGCTAGCCATCTCTCCATATTTATTGCTTATACGTATCACCATATTTCATTGTTATACATATCACCATATTTCATTGCTTTTCCCTTCTAAACATTTCTTGAACCTACTCACTTTCCTCCACATTCTTCAACCCAGCTTAGGCTACATTAATTTATCACCTGGACTGTGCCTCCTGCATCATCTACTTATACTCACTTCCTCTCAGTACCCCAACCAACCTATACTCCAAATTGCAGCCTAAGTAATGCTTTTCAAATGTAGATCAAATATGCTCCTGAAAACCCCTGAATGAATTCTCTTTCTTCCTAAGATAAGCATAACTACTTAGCATGGTTTTCTGGAAGCTGGGAAGTCCAAGATCATGGTACTAGCAGGTTAGATTCAGGTGATGGTCCTCTTCCAGGTTGCAGATTGCTGACTTTTCATTGTTTCCTCACATGGTGGAAGAGGCAAGGCAGCTCAGAGGCCTCTTTCATAAGGGCACTAATCCTGTTCATGCGGGTGCTTGCCCTCATCACCTAATCATCTCTCATAGGCCCTGCCTTCTAATACCATCGACTTAGTGATTAGGATTCAACACAGATTTAGAACATAGCAATGGTGAGTCAACTGCACAGGAGAGGTAACTGAAGCCTTGGGTGTAAATGGGATAGCCCTGGAATAGACCTTAGAGGAAGAAGAAAAGAGTCTCCAAGAAATTCAATATTTAACGGCCAGTGGAAGTGCAGAAAGCCTTTGGACACATAGAAGAAATGGCTAGAGAGGAAAGAGTAAAACAGGGAAGTGTGGTATCATGAAATTCAGTAAGTGATTTGCCAGGAGATTGGGTCTTTCAATTGTGTTTATTTTGAATGAATTTCACTATTGCTCTAGTTGGAGGAGATATTCTCAAATGGAAATTGACTGTGATTTATTTGCCCTTTTCACCTATTCACTCATTTTTATTTGTCTTCCTATGAGTGGGACAAACCACAGGTGTCTTAAAATTTGCCTGTTTATATATTTAACAGTAATATTAGAAGGTAACATTAATTCAGCACTTATGTACCTCTGCTAATGCTTTTGATGTTATTTAACCTATTCAACAAACTTTAGAGTAAGTAATATTATTATCCTTTTTATAAGTGAAGAAACAGTACCAGAACTTGAGTGATCCGGGCATGGTCACATAGCAAGTGATAGGGGCTGGATTTAGACACAATGAGCTACTCCCTGTGTAATAACTTCTGAGGGTTACTCCATCACTATTTGTCCTATTAATGTGAAGCTGACAGAGATTATACTGGACCAGTTGGTGTGCTCTAAGCCCAATTGTTTTGTATTGTGTTGTAAATTGTAAATTTTATGTTTCTATTTTTTCTTCTAGTATCCAAAGGAAAATATTTATATCTTGTTTAATTTTTAGCCATTTGAACGAATAAAACCTATAGCCTCAATGTTTTTATTTTGGTAAATAGAAGGAGGGAGGAAAGGAGAGAACGAGAGAGAGAGGAGGTAGAAAGAGTGAGACAAAGACAAATACTAGAAATAAAATGCTTTATTTTACACATAATCTGGAGTAAGAGTCATTGGTGATAGAAGTCATGTTTGTATAGATTAGCTTTAAGAAATCTTTTCTGTCCCCTATTAAAAGAAAAGGGGGTAAAAAGCAACTATTCTGTCATAAATATCATTTTAAACCATAAAATACATGATGAAAATACAAAGACTACTCTCTTAAAATTAAGTACCAAAAACGTGAAACTACATATAATTTATGTATTCCACAAATATTTATTGAGTGCATACTATTTGCTTGTACACTATTCTAGTGCTAGGGATGTAGTGATGAACAAACACCAAATTCCTTGCTCTTATGGGGTTTATATTCTATTAGGAGAGATGATCAATAAATAAATAAGCTAAGAGATATGTCAGGTGGTAACACATACCCAAAGGATAAAGCAAGATAAGGGAAAAAGGGAATGATGGAGGTGCTGTCTGATTAATGTTATGAGTAGTGATGATGATGATGGAGATGGTAAATACAGACTTTAGCTCATTTTTTGGCTTTTATGTTGGTAAAGACACTAGTAAGTAGTACATGGCGGGGGGGCACTACAATTCATTAACACTCTCCTTTATCATAGGTTGAAGCATCAATTTTGAAAACAATTGCATGCATTTAGAAATTAACCTGCATTTAAATACACACATAAAAGACACGGGAAGCAAACTTACCAAAAGTATAATGGATAATAATGGCTATCGTTGGCTGATTTTTATTTTCATGTGTATATTATAAGCATTTTCAACTGGTCCTATGATGCATAATTTTATAGTAACAATAACATTAAATATTTTCATATTTAGCCTATTGAGGAGAAAAGACAGAGTGGAAAGGGAAAGACAGGAGAAAATAAAGAAGAGTCAGAGAGACACTCATAAAAATAGACATGAAAATACAAATACATAGAAAGAAACCGTTCATATTAAGAAAAAGATGCAGAGTGAGGGACATGCTTACGTATTTGCTCACACAATATCACCATGTTATAGCCTTTTAAAAACAGTCACTGAATATTGTAATACTGCATTTTAACAAAACTAGCATGTCAAGAAACACTGGTACTTGAAAGTGTTTATTTGTGTTGGATGAAATTAGACTGAGGGTTGGATCTGCTCCTTATGGTAGAATTAAGTCAGTACCTGCTTAGGCTCTCAGATGACCTTTGTTGCAGACTATAACCACATCTGTGGACAAAGACTTCAAGACACAAGAGAAACAAGTCTGAAAACTATGTTAAGCATTTAAAATAAAAATAAAATCTTAAAAAAATATGAGTATATTGGCCGGACTGATTACTTTGCATCATGTAATTAGTTCACAAATGAGTTTAGTCTAGAGGGCTACTTTTAAGCTAATCAGCTTAGTTTTAGCCCTCTCTTTTAGATATCTTCATTGGTAACTATTTCACTTACTAGGATTATAAATTCTATTTATTTTGCAAGCAAATCTATAGAAATCGAAGTGTCAGTTACAGATGTCTTTTTCATCTATATTTCTGATAAGAGAGAATGCTGACCTTGAAGGAACAGCTTAGAATCATACTAGGACATTTTCTACTTTATTTTAGAATACTGTTGGCAAACTTATTTGTTTGGAGTATCTGGAAGCAATCTTTGGAATTGTTTTGTATTAGGTTAATGAAAATAATCTAATGCATTTTCTATCAAAAATACTGAAAGCAATTAAATTCACATTTCAAAAGTAAGATCTTTCAGATTGTTCTTTCTTTTGGCCAATTCTTTGGATCATATTTTTAGAAAGATTTCCTTTTCATGTGTTTTACTTTTTATTTTTTGACTTACGTATTAGGATAGGAACAACAATACTTCATTCATCCTATTTTCTAGCAGCATTTTTGTATAGTTTCCCTAACATAACAGCAGAGATGTGTGGAGTGGGGAGTGTCCACTAAACAAAGGGTATGAGAAGTGCCATCTTTTGTGGGTGGTCTCTGATTAAACAAGCAGTACAATTGAGTGGAATTGTGAAGCTTTATTTTATTTCGAAACTAAAATAAACTAAGGGCTTAAAGAAATTCAGAATGTAGCATATGTAAGTTATGACCCCAATTATACATGAGTTAATATAAAATTATATTTTTTACATAACAGCATTATGAAACTAAGGTTGCCTTATTTAAGTATTAGTAAAGACACATTTCTTAATATTAAAAATATTATTTGCTACATTTTCAGCAAATAAGAAAGAAAAGTTAATGTTTTATTAGTTCCATCAAAATACTTAACTGATGGTCTGTTGTGCCCACTATGAGTCTAGATAAGGTGATGCTATTATATATTTTAAAGTCAGTAATAAGAATCTTATATAAACTTGTGTACAATTGAAGTCATAATTTGGATTTTCTATAGTCTGCACTTCCTTAGTTTCATCCACAGAGAAACATTAACATTTCTCATACTTGAAATATCCCTGACAGAAAATAACGAGCTTCTAACCCCGTGGTTCTGCTGATTTTCTACAATATCACCCCCCGTAGTCAAGATAGTTTTAAATCTTGTGTTTTATGGAAATCAAATTCCATGATTTATCTCTCCCTTTTAATTAGAAAAAAACATGTTTCTATTAATTGAGTTAAATTGGTGATGCAGAAAGATGCACTATATTTATTATGTTGCCTCATAAATTCCATAGCACATCCCAGTTTTAAAAGACATAGGATTCTCTGTCCTCTTGGTTTATTAGGGATATGCAAATTTTCTAGGGGTTCAGGAATTCCCTAGAGTTTCTCATCCTAATTTGTATCAATTTTTATTAGAAAAAAAAAACTACCTTTCGTTGCATTTCGAAAAACGTATTCAGAATATTTGTGAAGAATGTAAACTGTAGTATTTAGTAGGAGGCAGTTACAAATTTCTTTAAAATATACCTAAGGGAAAATGTGTAAGCCCCATTCCATGTGGATTATTTGTTAGAAATCTAATAACTTGTGATAGATGAGTTCTGCTTCATCAGAAGTTGAAGGCTTAATCAAGATTTAGCAATTAAAGAAATTAGATTTCATTCTTTCACAAAGGCAAAGTAGTTCTATTTCTCTGTTTGTTTGTTTTCTTATTTTTTGAGATGGAGTCTCGCTCTATCGCCCAGGCTGGAGTGCCGTGGCGCGATCTCGGCTCACTGCAAGCTCTGCCTCCCGGGTTCACGCCATTCTCCTGCCTCAGCCTCTCGAGTAGCTGGGACTACAGGCGTGCACCACCTCGCCCAGCTAATATTTTGTATTTTTAGTAGAGACAGGGTTTCACCGTGTTAGCCAGGATGGTCTCGATCTCCTGACCTCGTGATCCCCCCTCCTCGGCCTCCCAAAATGCTAGGATTACAGGCGTGAGCCACCGTGCCCGGCCTCAAATAGTTCTATTTCTCTTTTTATTGTTTTGAAATCTCTTCAGTTCTACCAAATCCAGCAATTTACAATGAAGTGTAATGTAAGAAAGAGGAACGCATTCTTATGCTGGCAGATCCATGCCAGAGAACATGGGATGGGGAGAATAGTATCTGTGGTGGTGGGCAAGAATGGGAAGGGTACAGAATGGGCAGCCTGAAGTCCTGAAGATGGGCTCACTGGCTCCCCATTAAACTCTGGACATTTGTCCGGTGATTGCAATTTCTCTTCCAATCTTCATCCTTCCATTGCCTCCCCCGTGATTCCATTTGTACTCCTTCATGCCTCCCAGATGACTGGTCCAGTTCCCTAAATTAGCGTCTTCTCCAAAACGAGGACTTCTGGAACTCTTTTTCCATTTCCCAGTGGTGCTGATTGATGATACAGTGCTGTAACATTCATTATAGTTTTGCCTGCTGAAAGACCATGACCACAATCTGTCTACGGCCATGCACTGAGATAAGCAGTCACCTATGTGTCCACAACGTTCACTTGCTGGCCCTTGTCTGATGTGTTATCATACATTTGGTTCTGTTTAAGAAGCTTCTGTTGAGTGTCTTCATAAAATGGAATGCCCGTGGCCTGAGTATGCAAAAATGAGTAAGTCAAGGTTTGTGATTTTTAGAAACTTTCAAGTAAGTGAGGGAGCTGGAAAAAAATTCAGTTATTTTGTAATGTGTAATTCTTATAATAATTTCTTATGCAATAGCATCAGTATGGTTGTAGAGGTACAGACTAAAAGATACAAAGATACAACTTCCATTGAAGACATAGAATTTGTGATGATATTTGAAGGAAGATTGGATTTTGAAAGGGTGAAATTGCTATTGGTTAATAAACACCATTAAGTAAAACTATAGAAGTGATCACTGACAGAGAAAACTCAAGGGGAAACTAGTCATGAGCTGAATACTGTTTGTTTAGATATGCTAGATAATTTTAATAGTGAAATATCATTTTAGATGGATTCTATGTAAAATTATTAGAAGGTAAATGTAGATCACTAGAGCAAGATAAGATGTCGGCGTTTCTAGAATTCAATTGAAGACAAATCTTAAAGATTAATAGGTCAGTCAATTAAGTTACCATTTTTAGCCTGATTTTTTAAGTAGGGATAAAAAATACTGTATATATGTATATATATATAAAATATATCTCACTAACTAAACCACATAGTATATACTATTTAATAAAATTTACATGGTATAGATTACCTCATGCTTAAGGTAACTTCAGTGATTCCTCGAAATTATTACTGATTCCTTTAGTGAAGTCTCAAAGCAAAAATAATGTGTGTGTGTGTGTACACACACGTACATGTATCAATGAGACATATAAAATGAATTAGTCATGCTGATACCTTTTTTTGGTGGTGGTGGGGGAATGTACTGATAAAGCCTTTTTATCAAAATGTATCTTGTATTCACTTAAAGAAAATGAAAATAGTTGGGCGCGGTTGCTCATGCCTGTAATCCCAGCACTTTGGGTGGCCGAGGTGGGCGGATTGCTTGAGGTCAGGAGTTCAAGACCAGCCTGGCCAATATGGTGAAACCCCGCCTCTACTAAAAATACAAAAATTAGCCAGCATGGTGTTGCATGCCTGTAATCCCAGCACTTTGGGTGGCCAAGGCGGGAGGATCACTTGAGGTCAGCAGTTCAGGAACAGCCTGACCAACATGGTGAAACCCTGTCTCCACTAAAAATACAAAAATTAGCTGAGCATGGTGGCATTTGCCTGTAATCCCAGCTACTCAGGAGGCTGAGGCAGGAAAATCATTTGAACCTGGGAGGCGGAGGTTGCAGTGAGCCGAGATCCCACCACTGCACTCCAGCCTGGGCAACAGAGCAAAATTCAGTCTCTAAAGAAAATGAAAATAGAGTCTATCAATAAGTTAAAAGCAAAATGTTGGTAGAAAATAAGAATTAGCAATCACATGAATTTTTGTGCTTATATTAAATTTAAAAGCAAGTTACTAGTATAAACTATACAATAAAATATTTATCATATATAATCCCACACCTTAAAATACAAGAAGGAGGCTCCTCCTTTCCCCTTGTATTGATAATAGGTTTACATTTATCCATCAACATGCTTTTACCTCTGTGATCAAAGGTAAAATCAAGCTGTGGCCCAAAACTGACTCCATGAAAAACACACCCTTGACTTAACTTTTTGTCCTTTCAATTTCAGCAATATTTGAAAATATAAAAGTATAGTTAACAATATGTGCAGACTTATAAATTTACCAATTTAAGGAAAGAGAAAAAACCTATGGAAATTCTATCATTTAGCTGCCATATAATTACTTAAGGCTGTAGGTACAATGAATACATTGTTATTTATTTATATGATAACAAAATAATGAAAACATTGTATTGGCAGAGCTAATTATTCTCTAATTGCAAAGACTATCAAGTGACTTTGGCTTTATGAAAGTAAACTTCAACCTGAGTGTATACAATTTACAAAATTATGACATTGTTTTTTAAAATCATTATGAATAAAGCATCATACCAATAGTAGTTAGAATTGAACTTAGTCATAGCTCTTGGAAATTTGTTATCACCTTTGAAATATGTTCTTTTTCTTATTTTCTTTTTATCATGTAGTGGTTTGTAGTGGTTCAAAAAATCCATTAGAGGGCAATATAATATTGCTCTGAAGCTGAGAAAATATACTAGTGAAAGAACAGAGTATTACTCTGCCTCTCTGAGTTTTGAAAACAGCATTCTTACCAAAAGGAATTATTTAGTTCTGTTTTTTCATTAGTGTTTTATTTTTCTGAAACACAAACCATCAGCTGAATTTTAATCTTTTATTTATATTTAGAGCTGTAAAATAAATTATTCTAAATTTGAATTTAAATCTTGCAGGTGTATATTTAACTTGATAAATACAAATAGATGGTGCAGTAAATTTCCTTCTACAATTGTATTGTAGAAAACCTTTTTCAGAATGAAATCATGTCATTTGAAGCAACCTGGATGCAGCTGGAGCCATTATCTTAAGTGAATTAACGCTGAAACAGAAAATCAAATACCACATGTTCTCACTTACAAGTGGGTACTCATGAACATAAAGATG
The DNA here is from genome assembly GCF_000001405.40 of Homo sapiens. NCBI lineage: Eukaryota > Metazoa > Chordata > Mammalia > Primates > Hominidae > Homo > Homo sapiens. The sequence goes on from NC_000012.12 coordinate 41,264,912, forward strand.
GAAACACTAGACACTGGGTACTCCAAAAGTGAGGAGGGAAAGAAGGAGGAGAGAAAGGAATGAAAAACTATCTAGTGGGTACTATGTTCACTATTTGGGTGACGGGTTCAATTGAAGCCCAGACCTCAGCATTGCACAACATATCCATGTAACAAACCTGCACATGTACCCCCCAAATCTAGAATAAATTGTAAAAAAACCTTTTTGTCCACAATATAATGTCAAATGAGTCCTTAAAAGTGAATAACAAACTTGCTTGGAATTTAAAAATTTAGAGATCTACATGTATAAGTGAAGAAATCCTGGGCTTCTTTTCAAAGTTGATCATTTATATTAAAGGACATATATTTTACATGCATGGTTTATAAATGCAAGACTTCTACTGGATCATCAACCCAAGTTATATTTCTAAGTTTGAAAATACACCTGAACTCATGTAACCAGTTTATATAATTTAACATAGATTTAAAGTTTTATTTAATTCAAATATAATTAAGAATTAATATGTTGTGGATATGGTTTTACCTTAAGAAACCATTCTATGTGACACCAGAAACACAGCAAGGACCGATCTCAAATCCTGTCTTAAATCCTGCAGGTTAGATTAAAATATATTGCATCAAAAAAATTGAGCATTTAAGGAAAACACTAGGCATTAAAGAACTACATTAGGAGTGCTGCTTTCTTCGAAATCTATGAGTCAGTCCTCAGTTGTTTCTTAGCATAGGGGCAGCTGCTGACTGACCCAAGGATGGACTAGACAAAGGCCATTCACACTTTTTTCTTAGCCAGATGCATGTACCACTTGTACTTAGTTATTTCATTGCATCATATTTTTAACTTAAATCAATGTATTGTAAAGGATACTATTATCAATTGCAAACCAGAATGATGTGCCATAAATATCAGGGTACCATAAAAATAAACACAGGGGAAATAGTTTACATTGAAAAAAGAAATTAAACAATAAAAATAAATTATGATGGCTCTAATATCTACGTAAAATGCATAGCTGAAAATAAGTTATTCAAATCAAAGCCTTTTTCTTCTCGGTTCGTAATAAAATGATTTGCTTTCACCCAGTGTTGCTTCGTTCATGTCTTAAAATGAGATATTAAGGCCGGGCGCGGTGGCTCACGCCTGTAATCCCAGCACTTTGGGAGGCCGAGGCGGGCGGATCACGAGGTCAGGAGATCGAGACCATCCCGGCTAAAACGGTGAAACCCCGTCTCTACTAAAAATACAAAAAATTAGCCGGGCGTAGTGGCGGGCGCCTGTAGTCCCAGCTACTCGGGAGGCTGAGGCAGGAGAATGGCGTGAACCCGGGAGGCGGAGCTTGCAGTGAGCCGAGATCCCGCCACTGCACTCCAGCCTGGGCGACAGAGCGAGACTCCGTCTCAAAAAAAAAAAAAAAAAAAAAAAAATGAGATATTAAAATCAATAAGTTAATTGCATTTTTTTCCTCTTGGTATTGATACTAACTGAAACTGAGAATCCCATTTTACCTGTGCACCTAGTTGGATATTGGGAGCTGGACTGCAATTTACATTTTCAATTACAGTCAGTGGTCCTCTGAGCAGTAGGAAGCAAATATGAAGCAGGAAGCTAGATCCCAGGCTACTCTTTGACCCAGGTCAGGAACTCACCTTAGGAAAAGATACTTTAAGAAATCTAAGAAATTATTAAAGAAGAATGGCACAAAGACCAATTCTGGCAAGAATGGAAGTGGGGGTAGTAGTTGGTTGTTCTAACATTTTAGCTTTTTAGTCCACTCATAATCTTAGACTGATCTGTTTTTTAAATCAGTGAAGGCTGTGTAAATATCCAGAATATGTTTGTTGGGAAAAAATATTTTTGTTCTAAAATAGTAAAATATTTCTTGTGAAAGTATTCAATTATTTTATAATTGATAAATGATGCTGTCTTTTATAATAATACATCAGTTAATAGTTGATGAATAGTTCTTAAGATAATACCATAAAGCTAAATACTCTTTCCAATTTTTTCACAGATTTTGTAGTACATATTTCCAGAATTATATCAGGTTGTCCATCCGTCTGTCCATCTATACAGTTAGACGACCAGCCCACCATCTCAGTGCATCAAAGCATTCTTTGCTCATGAAACTCTGCTCATGAAACTCTTTTTTTTCACGGGCTCTACAAACTGCTAGTTAAAAATAACTGTAGTGTTGGTCTGTGGACTCTCCAAGATAAACCTATCCAGACTTTGGCTATCATCTTATATGGATAATGTGAAAACTGCTTAAGACTTTCAGTGTATAATGAAACAAAAATATACTGTAGTGGATTGGGATAAGATGGCAAATACTTGGCACACATAGTGTATTACCCCTCCTGTGCCTGTGGCAGACATTGCTAATTGATCATTCCTACTGAAATTGATCAGAACCCATCTCTAGACAGCTATTACCAATCAACTGGAGCTGGCATGTTACTTTAACCTGAATGCCATTCCTATATCTGGAAGAAGAAGAAAAAAAAGACAAAGGTAAGAATATGGAACAGAAAAAAACAGAAGAGAGAACCAGGGTTTTCCATCGAATCAGAGGTTAGAAATGTCCTTTCTCTATGATATTGATAAAAATTGGAGTTGCAATAAAAGGAAGAAGAAAGGGCCAGGTGCAGTGGATCATGCCTGTAATCCCAGCACTTTGGGAGGCCAAGGCAGGTGGATCACAGAGGTCAGGAGTTCGAGACCAGCCTCGCCAACATAATGAAACCCCATCTCTACTAAAAATACAAAAAAAAAAAAAAAAATTAACTGGGTATGGTGGCGGATGCCTGTAATCTCAGCTATTTAAGAGGCTGAGGTAGGAGAATTGCGTGAACCCAGGAGATGGAGGTTGCAGTGAGCTGAGATCTCACCACTGCACTCCAGTCTGGGCAACAGAGCAAAATCAGTCTCAAAATGAAACAAACAAACAAACAAAAAGGAAGAAGAAGGTGTGAGTAAGAAAGTTGCTCTGTTAATCCCTTTCACTAAAGAAAAAGAATCCTAACAAAGGCACCTGTTACTAAGGCTGCCATTGCTTCCATGGTGGCCCAGGGGAAGCCAGAGACCTCTACTCTGAACTACTCTGATATCATTAAATTAAATTCAACAAATATTTATTAAGCAACATCATGCATACTATGCATAGGTTTCTGTTATACTAAGTTCTGCGACAGATACAAAAGAGGCATTTTTTTTATTTTTAACTTGGCTCCTATGTTGTACAAGTCACATACCAGGTAATTAACATATTTTGTTTAAATCCCCAAACACCCCTAGGTCCAAGTAGTGTTGTGTCAACTTTACAGATGAGGAGACTTGAGAAAAGTTTAGCAAATTGCCAGTAATCAAACAGCTGCCAGACGAGGCCAGATCTCACACAAAAATTTACAGTCCTTCATATTGTGTTGCCTCACATGGGCAGGAAGATAGTTTCACTTGTGTTTTTACTTGTGTCTGGATTTACTGCAAATAACAAAAGAAGCAAGACAACAGAGATGGCATAGTCTGCCTCCTGTTCACACGTGTTTTCTTGACCAAACCAGACAGGCTCCAAAGGATAAAGGTTAAACAAATTAGAATTACCAGTGCTAGACTTTTTAACATGGTCTCATTATTTGGTTTTTAATTATTTCCAGATACGAAAAACTTGACTTTTTCCCTCAAAGACAGTTGTCTGTTAAACTTTATTGTAAATATAATTTTAGAAACTTAAAGAGAATCAGCACATTAGGAAATCACATCATAATTTCCAATTAAATACATCATTCTTTTCCAACATAAAGAATTTTAGAGTCAGACTAATGAAATCTCCATTTTTTAGCAATGTTAATATTATTCTAATGGAGTACCTTTCATTTGAAGAGGTTGGTGTGTTTCTAAAAGTTCAAATTAAATTCGAGAAAGGACATTAGAGGGACACAAAGAACAAATCATTGAAGGATAAAAACATGGAAAATTGCGTGATTGAAACTAAGGGATTTCATTTTGTGCCTTGCCTTATAAATTATCAACTGGATAATACAATTCTGTATAGTAACCACCAATCATAAATTTTTCACTTGAAATGTATTGTCTGCTTCACCTAGCTCCTGCCTTGAGCTTGGAGAGCAAACAAGGATATTTAGGTTTAGCCTAGAGCAACGTAAAAGGAAATGGAATAAAATCTTCTCCAGATCTCTGTGCAGCTAGGGTCCTACAGCAAACAGAATTGAGGTTATAATGGTTCTGAAGCTAAGAACAGTACTGCTAGTGTCCATGAAAATGGAAAGCACCTATAAAAATGATTGACACTTTCTATAAAGTAGACTTTCACTGTCAATCATCTAAATATGATTCATTAATCATACTATAAGCATTTGACAGCTGACTGACAATAACAAATTCTCCCTAGAGAAAGCTATATAGAAATTTGAGAGCAGCTTATAATTGTTGATACTATTTAAGCTGGATGTTATGTATCATACAAGAAGCAGATAGCTTCTTGCAGCCCAACATAATTGATTCCAACAGAACCTTGTTACCACAGTCAGCATTTCATGGCTTCTGATGCATTCCCAATTACAAGGAAAAAAAAGGGAGAGAAAACAACACTTCTGATCTAAACTAAATAAATTGTTCAAAACAGACTTTTTGTAGAAAATAATTTTCAAATTCTTTCAGCAATTTGAGAGCCTTAATATTACAGGGCATAAAGACATGGCCAGGCCTGGCGTCAGTTTCTCCATGTTTCTAACACAGCCTGCCCAGGGTTCAAGACTCTATATGCCATATTTTGAAGTTTTCCACTGTATCAGACTGTGTTGTTTCTTGAGGTATTCCAAAGAAAGATGAAAAGCCAAACTTTAAATAAAGCACAAGATGGAAAGTTTAAGGATGTAATAATAAAGACTTGCTATGCACAGACCTGTGGGTTATCCTTGGGGAAGAAATAAAGTCAACACCAGGTTTTAAACCATAATAAGCATTCTGATACACACACACGATATTGCTAAAATATTTCTATAAAGTCAATTAAATGCCATATAAGATGAAATGTCTCTCCCCCTACCTCTCTCTTTTGCTTTGTCTGTCTCTCTCTGGTTTTTTGAATAAATTCTAATGGGTCATTGTGGTAAAGTGGACTGAGTTAGTAGTCATATAAACCTGGATTTGACTTTAATTTCACGTTTGCCCATTTAACAGCTATGGCTGAGTCAGTTACTCATTTCTAAAGCAGTGATAATTATTTTCCCATCACCACATGTTATAAATTAAATGCGCTAATAGATGTAACAATAGATTTTACTCAATTAACTCTGCAATTATCTGGGATAATTTTTGGATCGTAACTATTGTGTGTGTGTGTGTCTGTGTGTGTGGTGTGTGTGTGTGTCTGTGTGTGTGGTGTGTGTGTGTGTCTGTGTGTGTGTGTGTGTGTGTATTTAGAATTAGATTGTTAATGCATGTAACCTGGCCATAATTTAAGCAACTTATAGAAATAAAGATTAATGAATTTAGAGAAAATTGAATTCTATCACTTAATAGTAAGGGGAACTAAGTCATAAAACGCATAGATGGCTTGTGTAACAAAAGGCTTATTTCTTTAAAAAAATCATGTTTATAGAACTTTGGCTTTCTCAAAATTTCCACTTGCTTTCAGTGAAGATACAAAATTGGAATCTTTATTCCATCTTATCTTCACTGCAGTCAGAATTCACCATTTTAAACTAACTGATTAATCATACAATAAATGTACTTACTTTTGTAGTAACTATTTCTTGATATTTTTATATCCTAACAGGATAGAGATGCAGCCAGTTGGAAGAAATGATGCAGATTACATGCAAAATTTATTCATTCTTTTATTAATTTGTTAGTTACGTAGAAATCTCAAAATAATTATTGTGTGTATACCATCATGAGAGTGTTAAAAACTCAGTATATGTAGTGGGGAAGTAATATTTTAATGAGAAGTGCTCTTTCCTAAACTGATTTAGTGAAAAATTTGTTTAAAAATAATACAGTATAGTAAAGTTGATTATTAAAATGTCAAAACTTAATTTTTACACAATGAAATTTTATTTTCTAAATCTGAAATATAGTCTTCGTAGCATCACATATATGACTAATTCTACTTGACTTATATAATTTGCTTTTATATTATTTTTCATTTTGTGTTTTATATTATCTAAACCTCAATGTATATAAATATTCTTATCTCATCAGCTTAAAACAATATAGCTATTATTTTTTCTTGAATGACTGTATCTAGAGATTTTAAAAAAACTAATTTAATAAATCCACTCCTCCAACACAAAGCACAAAATAGAGACAGGATACATTAAATATCTTCCAAGTTTATTGTTTTATGAATAGCTGATTCTCATTACACTTAGCTACTTTCCCTTAGGTACAAAAAATATGGGTCAAGTCCTATTTTCATGGCCCTATTAAATCACAACTGCAGGTACCATTTTTAAGCATCTATAGCATTGTTTTAAAGGTATCTTTCACATGAAGGTAGTTTGAAAAGTCGTTCTTCCCTGGGTTTTGCATAATTATTTTCTCTTATTCCAAAACTCAGAATTTTTGGTCTAGTCTGTTTTAACCACCTTGAATCTTGCCAATTAAAATGCTAGCCTCCTGGCCCTAACTTCCTTTCCCTTGTTCCTAGCAAGCATCTGTTCTTCCACATTCTTGTATAGTTTAACTCAAAATGCCAATCAGTGATGATTGATCACATTTTTCACACAACAGCCTGGACCCGGATTCTGCACTCCACATGCATTTGCCGTTTTGATTAATGAACATAAATCAGCGGTGACAATTCACATTTGCAAGTGGATGGAAAGAATTATTAGAAATGCAGCACATTAGTAAGCAAAAGCTTCCCTTCATTCTATTACAATTGCATTGAAAACAAATACACTCCCCTCAGAGGACTTTGTGGTTATCATTAGGGAATATCTGAAATATGGAAATAAAACACATGCTGCCAGGCCTGTTTTCATTATTTTGATCTCATAAAAGATCTTTATATTTCAATACTGCACAGACAACAAATGATTTTGCAACATCATTTCTATGTTTATATAAGCCTCTACTATATAGAATATCTCAAAAAGCAATTCCTTTCTCTACCAAATAGAGTATTTTTTTTTTTGGAATGAAAGAATGGCAAAAAAAATTTAACTTGTTTCCTTAATTCACATAAACAATAAAAATCAAAGATTTTGTCTATGTCCATTCAATGAATTACTTACTTTTTTCCCTCCACTAATATTTACTTTAAGAACATAAAATTCATAAATAAATAACCTCTTCTGGTTTTAAAGCCAAAGTGCCAATGATATGTGGTGAATCAGCCTAAAGTCAACTGGTAAAAATATTGTTTTCTTTGGTTATGAAAATTTCTAACTCAGTTGAGACATACAGATCAGGATCTTCAAATAAAATATTCTTAAATGGAATATGTATGAAATATACTTCACAGACCAAATATATTGATCCTAAAGTGACCTGTTTGACTTATTAATTTTAAAGCATCATTACTATAATGGCCCATTTATTGTATTAAATGAGTATTAAATCTTTGCAGCTACTTAAGACTGCTTTTAAGGGTCACGGATTTAATTGCCTCAATAAATATATACCTATACTATCAGTTATTTCTAACTTCTCAGGAGGCAAAGGCACTGGTGTGTTTAGTAAGTATAATTGACTCTTTTAGTAAGAAATGGATACACTTTTAAAGCACATGTATCAAGACTGCCAGAAAAAAATTTAAAACTTTATCGGCAGTTCAAAAGTTATAAAAATATTTGCCAAGCTTGAAAAACATTTCTATCTTTATTTTATAATAACATATTTACTTAGAAAGTGCTTTGTTTTCTTTCCCCTTTGTGGCATCGAATTGTCAATTAAAGGCCTTTAGAGTGACCATGGGATGAGTTGGTTAAGTTGCTGTCCAGGTGGGAGAACAGCAAAATAGATGCTGTTGGTTGTAACTCTGAATTTCCAGAAGTCACATTGAAGTCCTAATAATCAAAATATTTAGGAGGAAATTGAATTCTGCAATCAATGAGAACTATAGTCTTGGCAGTTCCTAAAAGGCGCATTTCCTTGTTGTTTTGCTTAAGCTTGTCTGGGCTTCATTTAGTAGTCTGCTTATGTTAAATTTAAGCAATCATGGGTATGGAAAATGAATAAAGTGTTGACTATCCATTTGGATCAATTTTATTCATTCAAAAATGTACATTTTAATAAAGTAATGTTAGGCACTATGGATAGAAATATCAAAGAGGCTCAGTTTCTTCTTCCAAAGTGTTCCTAAAGAAGGAAATAGACATAGAAGGAAAGCAAGTTATAATCCAGTTTCATAAGTACAGTAATGGAAGATTGCATAAGACAGTATGCTGGCAAGCGCAAGAATGATCAAACCTGGTTGTGGAGAGTGTCATGAAAGTCATTATAACCAAATCTGAAAATGCAGTTCCCCAGACGCTTAAAGAAGAAAAATGTATTCTGAAAAGAAGAAACAGTGAATTCAGGACAGAGAATGAAACAGTATAGCGTGATAGAAACTACAAGTAGCCTTAACTGTAACTTACATATAGGGCATCTCCCAGAGATGGGGGAAGTGATAAAGGGTGAAGCTAGTAAGGAACTTGTATGCTTGGAAGTTTTGACACTACTCTATAAATGATGTAGAAACCAATAAATGAAGTGTTTCATTAAAGAAAAAGTATATTCAGTCAGAAATTAGCAATTTTAGGAATTTTTATAATACCTAAAAAATGACTGAACATAAAATCTTATTTTTAATTGATAAAATATGTTTTCAGGTTTACCTGCAAAAACTATGGTTGATTTGCAAACATGTCTTATTATAGTAGAAAATTACCAAATGTATGCTATTTATCATTAAATTTACCTTCATGGCAGCAGATGCCAAAGAACTAGTTCAGCAATTATGCCTTAATGTCATCCCATTATCATTTATCATTTTTCTTAATGCATCAAGATCTAAAGTCCTTGAATGCAAGCTTGGTCAGCAACCATAGAAATATGGGGTTCATTTTGTCTTTACTTTGTCATAAAAGGGGTCTTGCCTTCTTCTATGTGGGACATGGCATTTAAGTTAAGTTCATATAACTTTTTAAGTAAGGACATTATATATTTTTTTCATTTTGTACTGGGATAACTACCTCACCAATAAGTGGTAGAATAAATTGTAGCCACATGTCAAAAAGTAGGTCATCCTAATGAGTGTGTGTAAAGCTGGTATTTTCCTTTTGAAAATGTCAGGGTTTTTAAAAAAACAGAACAGAAATATGTTTTATTAATAACCACTCTGTGTATTGTGTAGTTAAAATCTTTGACTATATAACCTCTTTCATACCAAGCATTATTTAAAATAATAAATCTTTCAAAATTTAAATAGATATGGCACAAAGGTGCAATTTGAAGGAATATATAGAGTTGATCATTATAAATGGAAAACGCTTAAAATGCTGAGCTTGTTTCTATGTTTAGTGAACACTTCCTAGTTTAAGCTAGAGAGAAGGATTGCCTGAATTAATGAAAGTTCCGAATTAGAAAATATTTTGGAAGCAAATATAGTACCATAGATGCTCAGGGATATTAGAAGCCATTTTTAAATACCAACTAAAGTCTATGTAACATTGACATTATCTCTACCTCTTGTATCCCTAGACACTACTGAAATACCTGAATCCATGGTGGAGAGCAGATCTCCCAAGACAGCCTGCTTCTTCTTCAGATGATTCCATTAGGAAAAGTTTTCTTATATTTTGCCAAATCTATCATAGCTAGCATTCCCTGGCTCAAACTTTGCCTGGTGTGTTCATGAAGTATACACCCTTGAAATATCTGAAGACAGTTAAAGATTAATTCCCTTCCTGTTTACTGAATCACTGGACTCGCCATTAGGGAAATGTGGTAGGAAAAAAATGCTCTGAAATCAGTCAAATATTTGCAAAGTCTCCCAGTGAATTATTATAGACAGAACAATTTTGGCTGACAGTATAATTAGGTAGATTCAGGCCCAAGAGCTCATTGGTGGGTCAGTGTCGGACTAGGCACCTGATGCATCTATGTAGTCCAGATGCTACAGGGATCAGTGCTTTAGACTAAGATGCTGAACATTTTAACTCATGAATAAGCTGAGAGGCTTGACTGGCATGGGATCAAACTGATGCCAGAAGCAACTCTGGAAGGGAGAGTGGATATGCCTAACGACAGTTATCCCAGGGAACTGTGTGGCTCATTTCCTCATTTAATTAAAGTCTCTGATAAAAAGTCCGTATTTCAGATAGCCTCTGTCTTACCACCTTATAAAATTAGCATTCTTCCCCATCATAACTCTCTTACTGGCTCATTTTTCTTCATAATGCTTACTACCACTTGTTGTATATTTATTTATCAGTTTACTTGAACTAACCCACTAGAATGTAAGTCCCAATATTTTATAGTTTTCATTGCCAAAAATTCAATCTTTCAGTTCTTTCCCATTAAGTGATTTTGAGGCCAAGTTGTTGGCAGGATTTTTGCAGTGGCCTGAATAACAAACTTAGAAGAAGTGAGCTCAGTGGAGTGACAGGGGAGGCAGGAAGGAAATAGATCCTCTCTGCTCCACATCTTTACACACTGCATGCTAGGGTCTGTGCTAGGCGGTTGGTGTAATTTTTATTTATCTCCCTTAAAATTTTATAAGAGTATACTGTGGATTTTTTTAAAAAAATAATCATTTCTGAGGGATTATTACATATAAGGCTATAGATATATAGTAAGTAAAGGAGATAGGATTCAAACCCAAATATGGCCACAAGAGTAGGAAATAATTTTTAATATCTGCCTACAAAGGTTTCAGTGATGAGTATAAAGCATTTCACTTTTTAAAATAAAAATGGAGACTCATTGAATCTAAGGAAATAATTTAGAGAAAATGTACAGGCTGGATGTGAAAAATGAAGGTGATTTTGAGGGATGTGAGACTAGAGAAGACTATGATAGTACTTGTGAGTTTCGGAGTTGGGTAAATGGTTACAGGCAGAGGAAACTCCAGATTTATATGCTTTTCTATCTTGGTAGATGTGGTTGACTAGCAGTAGTTTCACAGTTGTTATTAATGAGAAGGGTGAATGGTGTAGGAAGCCTAGGACATTCTCGATAGGGATGACAGCAATCCCAAGGGACAAATATTGGTCCTTGGAGGGCAAGAAAGCTTACATATTACAATGGTTTGTGGCTCTCCAAAGAACTGCAGTATGTAAACAGATATACAGCATATTTGTGGTATTAAAATTTCATATGGAAGGTGGTGGGGAGATAATGGAAACCAAAAAGAAACAGGGACCTAATACAAGAAAGCAGAAACCATACAAGAAAATGATTTATACAAATAAGCTCTTCTCTGGTGTTTTAAGAACCCTTTTTAGTATATTATAGTTATTGTAGCAGTTTAACGAGTAGACCCTGGCCTCAGATAGATTCAGATAGACCTGGGGATTATTTTATACACGTCATAGTTCATATATTTATATGAAATATGAATATATTTATGAAATATGAAAATATATATTTCATATATTCATACATCATATTTATACATGTCATATTTCATATGTGTCATAGATTCTGCTAAGTGTTTCCCATTATATAGTCATTGATTAAAGCCTTGCAATAAATTTATGAGAAATTCTTTGAATAAAACTTACCCAAAGTCACACAGCTCTTAATGTTAGGGCCAGCAATCACTATGAGATTTATTTTCCTAATACACTGGGAATAGAAGGTAGTCATACTATTCTGCAGATTACAAGAATCACATCAGCTAATGTATGTAAAGTACTAAGCAAAGTGCCAGGCAGGAATGTTAGCTACTCTTATTATCTATCTATGGTCAGTACCCTATATTTGTCTGGATAAACCAGAGTCAGCAGTATTTACCATTCTTAGAGACCCAGTTCTACTTTAATAATAATGTCATGCATAATGGTTAGCTAGTGTGACAAATGTACCACACTAATGCAAGATGGTAACAAGAGGGGAATCTGGATATATGGAAACTCTCTGTACTATATTTACCACTTTTCTCTAAATCTCAATGTATTCTAAAATATAACAATTCTTTAAAAGAGATTCACTTCTAGCAACAAATTGAGTATGTTGTTGTAAATTGCAACTTTAAAAATCAGTTTCATAAATTCAGCAGAACAATGAAAATGCAAAACAGACAAAAAACAGTAATGAGCGTGCACAGGAATTTTAAACATTCCATACATGAACCAGCAGATGGCAGAGTACGCAAGCATCTGAACTTGGGTACTAAAACCCTGCTTCCCATCAAATGAAGCCTTTTCATTTTTCACGTAGTTTTAGTTAATTTATAGGGCCAACGATATAAAATCCTGCTGCCCCTAACTACAAGGCCGTTGCTGAAAATAAAACGGGCGTGAGTTCTGGGTGGATTTGTTAGCTCACAGGCACTGCAGAGGCGAATTTCCCACTGAGGAAAGAGTCCGCTTTCATTCTGAGCGTTGTGAACTCAGTTTATGCACCAGTGCAGATATGATGTCTATAAACAGATGGCCGGCCTTCTTATCCCAATCTCTTTCTCACCTTACGCTCACTGTGGTGATAGCTCACCTGGTCCAGGTGGGTGGATGATTGACTCTGTAGACCAGACTAGCTGGACTAATCAGTGATCCCCAGCTGTGCTGACACTAATCTAGAGTTACTGCTGGAACGAAAGTCTAACCTCCAACTGAAATAAGGTTGGTGAACAGCTCTTGTTGCAACGATTGAAGAGACTCTGCTGCTCTTTGGTGTGTAGGAAAAGTAATGTTTGTTAGAGGTAATCAATTTCTCTTTGGTAGATTAGCAGCTATAAATAGAATTCACATACAGAGGTTCCGTATGGATAAAGATGATTTTCTTTTCTTATGTCTAGGGGAGAGGAAGATAATTTATGTGAGCAAGTGAAAGGTGATGTGGAATAAAAAGGATATTAGTTAGACATTTTAGTCCTCGGCAAAGAATTTAAGGCTAATGGCCTCCATCTGATCCAAAAGCCAATTATGCTAATGACGCTCTTAGATGTAAAAGCTGTAGCTATAAGTCAACACAGACTTTTGGCACTCAATATGTTTGCATGGACACTAAGATGATCCTTTTCCTCCTGTTCCCTGGCTGTACTCAAAATTCAAATCCCTTTTACCTTTTGTTATATGCGTGACTCATAAGATAATAAGACTGAAAGAGGAGGCTTTTTATAAGGCCATGATTGGATATATCCTCCAAGCTAAGTCTTATGTTATATTCAGAAGTCATGGAAGAAAAACATAGACACAAGATACCAGAAAAGGTTGTCATCTCCCTATCCAGGATAATGTTTTTCACCAAATTCAAGGAGACTTTTTAATTTCTTTTGTTCAGAAGGTTAATCATTGAGATGGGTTAATGTACACACATTAGTTAATCTTAGCAGTCTGTTAAATGAACAGGTTTATTGACTTTACAAAAGATTACTTTGTGTAACGATTACATTGAAAGAGCAGAACTCAATATGGTGCAATATAAAGCATTATTTTTCCTTCCACTGTCCCTAAAACCCTGCTAGAGGGGCCAGCTATTTCTGTGCTTCTGATGAAAAGTGAAAGCAGTCCCATAGCTTCAGTAACTTTTAATTATAAAAACAGTCTCTTAATAATCAAAATTCCCTACCTCATTCAAAGTTAAACCTTGTCCAGTAGTTCCCTTGAAAGTCCTTTTACTCAAGATAGAGATAAGGGAACAGCGGAAAATGCTACATCACAACAACTGTTCCTAAGGAAATTCTATTCCAAACACTCCCATCCTTTGAACTTTCTAATTTCTAAATATCTTCTTAGTGCGGATTAAATGGAGGGTCTCAGTATTTGTTTTGGGATGCCATTTTAGCAAGCCCTGCATAGTGATGGAGCCCCTACTAAGGATGCATGGATAAAGGCCCTTATCTCAGCCTTTCAGCCTTCAGCTAAAACAGAAAGAAAAAGTCCCAGTTAAATATCCTGCCATATTTATAACTCCAGAAGGATTTTTGGGACACTAAAAATAAAGGCAGGGTGACATAAAAATAACGATGTGCTAGGATTCTTGTTAAGTGACTCTCAAAGGGCACTGGGAAACCAGTTACACGCAGGGTTCGGGTATACAGTGTTTTTCAAATGTTTGGGTTGGTAACATTTGAGAATCAATGCTCTTTTATACTTTAAACAAATCAGTCATTCTTGACATAAGTCATTTATAAAATAAGAATGCTGAACTAGAGAGATGTATAAGATTCCCTTAAACTCAAAATTATTTAAGAACTTTCTTAAGCAATCAAAAAGAGAAAATAAAATTGTCAAAATATTATTTCTAGTCATCTCAGCTTTGATTTTGTTTACATGAAGTAGGCAGGCAGTTTTTAAAACCTAAAAAGCTAAAACGTGTTGGCCCAATTTATGAACTTAAATGAGAAGCAGCATCTTCATTTTATAAAAAATGATGGTCGTGGTATTTAAAGATGGGTAGTAGTTTCCAACAATAAGTAGGAGCCACTATTATTGAATAATTAGTTTCTATTTTGGTTTTTCTAGGAAAGCTTGTATTTATTTATTTATTAACCTAAATAAGTCTCTGTGTCCTCAGATAAGAATATTAATTGACCTGGCTCCAGTCTGTGTGAAATGTGAATTTCCTTAAAACTGAAAATGTAGAAATCAAACATATTACTATTTCAAGGAAGTACTAATGTTTTCAATAGAGGGAAGAAGACATGGGTTGAAACAAAGAACTAGAGTTGGAGATAATTATAGTAGTATTGAGGATAGCCTATAAAGAGACAATAATGATTAATAAAAGCCCACCTGCAAGGCATATAAGAAGATTTTTAAAACTTGAAGACTTCTTTTTTCCATCAGTCTATAGAACTGTAAGGTAGAAAACAGCAACATAGGGAATTCCTGGGCAAGATGGCCGAATAGGAACAGCTGTGGTCTGCAGCTCCCAGCAAGGCCCATGCAGAAGGTGGGTGATTTCTGCATTTCCAACAGAGGTACCCGGTTCTTCTCATTGGGACTGGTTAGACAGTGGGTGCAACCCATGGAGGGCGAGCAGAAGCAGGGTGGGGTGTCGCCTCACCTGGGAAGCACAAGGGGTCAGAAAAATCCCTCCTTTTGCCAAGGGAATCCCTGAGGGACCCTGCCATGAGGGACGGTGCTATGCAGCCTAGATACTATGCTTTTCCCAGGGTCTTTGCAACCCACAGACCAAGAGATTCCCTCGGGTGCCTACACCACCAGGGCCCTGGGTTTCTAGCACAAAATTGGGCAGCCATTTGGGCAGACACTGAGCTAGCTGTGGGAGTTTTTTTCCGTACCCCAGTGGTGCCTGGAATGCCAGCAAGACAGACCCGTTTACTCCCCTGGAAAGGGAGCTGAAGCCAGGGAGCCAAGTAGTCTTCCTCAGCGGATCCCACCCCCATGGAGCCCAGCAAGCTCAGATCCACTGGTTGAAATTCTGGCTGCCAGCACAGCAGTCTGAAGTCAACCTGGGACACTCGAGCTTGGTGCGGGGAGGGGCGTCCGCATTACTGAGGCTTAATTAGACAGTATTCCCCTCACAGTGTAAACAAAGCTACCAGGAAGCTCGAACTGGGTGGAGCCCACCGCAGCTCAGCAAAGCCACTGTAGCGAGACTGCCTCTCTAGAGTCCTCCTCTCTGGGCAGGGCATCTCTGAAAGAAAGGCAGCAGCCCCAGTCAGGGGCTTATAGATAAAACTCCCATCTCCCTGGGACAGAGCACCAGGCAGAAGGGGTGGATGTGGGTGCAGCTTCAGCAGACTTAAACGTTCATACCTGCAGGCTCTAAAGACAGCAGCGGATCTCCCAGCACAGCGTTCCAGCTCTGAGAACGGACAGACTGCCTCCTCAAGTGGGTCCCTGACCCCCGTGCCTCCTGACTAGGAGACACCTCCCAGCAGGGTTTGACAGACACCTCATACAGGAGAGCTCCAGCTGGCATCTGGCAGGTTCCCCTCTGGGACAAAGCTTCCAGAGGAAGGAGCAGGCAGCAATCTCTGCTGTTCTGCATCCTCTGCTGGTGATACCCAGGTAAACAGGGTCTGGAGTGGACCCACAGCAAACTCCAGCAGACCTGCAGGAGAAGGGCCTGACTGTTAGAAGGAAGACTAACAAACAGAAAGCAGTATCATCAACATCAACAAAACAGATGACCACGCAAAAACTCCATCCAAAGATCACCAACAGCAAAGATCAAAGGTAGATAAATCCACAAAGATGAGGAAAAACCAGTGCAAATAGGCTGAAGATTTCAAAAACCAGAATGCCTCTTCTACTCCAAAGGATCACAACTCCTCGCCAGCAAGGGAACAAAACTGGACAGAGAATGAGTTTGATGAATTGACAGAAGTAGGCTTCAGAAGGTGGGTAATAACAAACTCCTCCAAGCTAAAGGAGCATGTTCTAACTCAATGCAAGGAAGCTAAGAACCTTGATAAAAGGTTAGAGTAATTGCTAACTAGAATAACCAGTTTAGAGAAGAACATAAATGACCCGATGGAGCTGAAAAACATAGCACAAGAACTTCGCAAAGCATACACAAGTATCAATAGCCAAATTGATCAAGTGGAAGAAAGGATATCAGAGGTTAAAGATCAACTCAATGAAATAAAGCATGAAGGCAAGATCAGAGAAAAAAGAATGAAAAGGAATGAACAAAGCCTCCAAGAAATATGGGACTATGTGAAAAGACCAAACCTATGTTTCACTGGTGTACCTGAAAGTGACAGGGCGAATGGAACCAAGCTGGAAAACACAGTTCAGGATGCTTTCCTTGCCTGATTGCCCTGAGGGATTTTGTCACCACCAGGCCTGCCTTACAAGAGCTCCTGAAGAAAGCACTAAATATGGAAAGGAAAAACTACTACCAGCCACTGCAAAAACATACCGAAATGTAAAGACCATTGACAGTATGAAGAAACTGCATCATCTAATGGGCAAAATAACCAGCTAACATCATAATGACAGAATCAAATTCATACATAACAATATTAACCTTAAATGTAACCGTGCTAAATGCCCCAATTAAGAGGCAAAGACTGGCAAATTCGATGAAGAGTCAAGATCCATTGGTGTGCTGTATTCAGGAGACCCATCTCATGTGCAACGATACACATAGGCTCAAAATAAAGGGATGGAGGAATATTTACCATGCAAATGGAAAGCAAAAAAAACAGGGGTTGCAATACTAGTCTCTGATAAAACAGACTTTAAACCAACAAAGATTTAAAAAGACAAAGAAGAGCATTACATAATGGTAAAGGGATCAATGCAACAAGAAGAGCTAACTATCCTAAATATATATGCACCCAATACAGGAGCACTCAGTTTCATAAAGCAAGTTATTAGAGACCTACAAAGAGACTTAGACTACCACACAATAATAGGGGGAGATTTTAACACCCCACTGTCAATATTAGACAGATCAATGAGACAGAAAATTAACAAGGATATTCGGGAGTTGAACTCAGCTCTGGACCAAGCAGACCTAATAGACATCTACAGAACTCTTCACCCAAAATCAACAGAATATGCATTCTTCTCAGCACCACATTGCACTTATTCTAAAATCAACCACATGATTGGAAATAAAACAATCCTCAGCAAATGCAAAAGAACGGAAATCAAAACAAACAGTCTCTCAGACCACGGTGAAATCAAACTAGAACTCAGGATTAAGAAACTCACTCAAAACCATACAACTACATGGAAACTGAACAACCTGCTCCTGAATGACTACTGGGTAAATAATGAAATGAAGGTGGGAAATAAATAAGTTCTTTGAAACCAATGAGATCAAAGACACAATGTACCAGAATCTCTGGGACACAGCTAAAGCAGTGTTTGGAGGGAAATTTATAGCACTAAATGCCCACAGGAGAAAGTGGCAAAGATCTAAAATCGACACCCTAACATAGCAATTAAAACAACTAGAGAAGCAAGAGCAAACAAATTCAAAAGCTAGCAGAAGGCAACAAATAACTAAGATGACAATTGAACCGAAGGAGATAGGAGCAGGGAAAACCCTCCAAAAAAATCAATGAATCCAGGGGCTGTTTTTTTTAAAAGATTAACAGAATTAGCCAGACTAATTAAGAAGAAAAGAGAGAAGAATCAAATAGACACAATAAAAAATGATAAAGGGGATATGACCACTGTTCCCACAGAAATACAAACTACCGTCAGAGAATATTATAACACTTCTGTGCAAATAAACTAGAAAATCTGGAAGAATGGATAAATTCCTGGATACATACACCCTCCCCAGACTAAACCAGGAAGAAGTCAAATCCCTGAATAGAACAAAAACAAGTTCTGAAATTGAGGCAGTAATTAATACCCTACTAGCCAAAAAAGCCCAGGACCAGACAGATTCACAGCCGAATTCTACCAGAGGTACAAAGTGGAGCTGATCCCATTCCTTCTGAAACTATTCTGAACAACAGAAAATGAGGGAATCCTCCCTAACTCATTTGATGAGGCCAGCATCATCCTGATATCCCAACCTGGCAGAGACACAACAACAACAACATTTTAGACCAATATCCGTGATAAACATCAATGCGAAAATCCTCAATAAAACACTGGCAAACCGAATCCAGCAGCACATCAAAAAGCTTTTCCACCGTGATCAAGGTGGCTTCATCCCTGGGATGCAAGGCTGGTTCAACATATGCAAATCAATAAATGTAATCCATCACATAAACACAATCAAGGACAAAAATCACGTGATTATTTCAATAGATGCAGAAAAGGCTTTCAATAAGATTCAACATGGCTTCATGCTAAAAACACTCAATAAACTAAGTACTGATGGAACATATCTCAAAATAATAAGAGCTATTTATGACAGACCCACAGCCAATATCATACTGAATGGGCAAAAACTGGAAGCATTCCCTTTGAAAACTGGCACAAGACAAGGATGCCCTCTCTCACCACTCCTATTTAACATGGTATTGGAAGTTCTGGCCAGGGTAATCAGGCAAGAGAAAGAAATAAAGGTCTTCAAATAGGAAGAGAGGAAATCAAATTATCTCTGTTTGCAGATGACATGATTGTATATTTAGGAAACCCCATTGTCTCAGCCCCAAAACTCCTTAAGCTGATAAGCAACTTCAGCAATGTCTCAGCATACAAAATAAATGTGCAAAGAAATTACTAGCATTCCTATACACCAATAACAGACAAACAAAGAGCCAAATCATGAGCAAACTCCCATTCACAATTGCTACAAAAAGAATAAAATACCTAGAAATACAACTTACAAGGGATGTGAAGGACCTCCTCAAGAACTACAAACCACTGCTTAAGGAAATAAAAGAGGACACAAGCAAATAGAAAAACATCCCATGCTGATGGATAGGAGGAATCAATATTGTGAAAATGGCCATACTGCCCAAAGTAATTTTGATGCAATGCTATTTCCAACAAGCTATTATTGACTTTCTTCACAGAATTAGAAAAAACTACTTTAAATTTCAAATGGAACCAAAAAAAGAGCCCATATATGCCAGACAATCCTAAGCAAAAGGAACAAAGCTGGAGGCATCACGCAACCTGACTTCAAACTACATTACAAGGCTACAGTAACCAAAACATCATCGTATTAGTACCAAAACAGATATATAGACCAATGACACAGAACAGAAGCCTCAGAAATAATGCCACACACCTAAAACCATCTGATCTTTGACAAACCTGACAAAAATAAGCATTAGGGAAAGGATTCCATGTTTAATAAATAGTGTTGGGAAAGCTGGCTAGCCATATGCAGAAAACTGAAACTGGACCCCTTGCTTACACCTTATACAAAAATTTACTCAAGATGGATTAAAGACTTAAACATAAGATCTAAAACCTTAAAAACCCTAGAAGAAAACCTAGGCAATACCATTCAGGACATAGCATGGGCAAGGACTTCATGACTAAAACACCAAAAGCAATGACAAAAAAAGCCAAAATAGACAAATGGGATGTAATTAAACTAAAGAGCTTCTGTACAGCAAAAGAAACTATCATCAGAGTGAACAGGCAACCTACAGAATGGGAGAAAATTTTGCAATCTATCCATCTGACAAAGGGCTAATATCCAGAATCTACAAAGAACTTAAACAAATTTACAAGAAAAAAAACAAAAAACCCCATCGAAAAACAGGCAAAGAATATGAACAGACACTTCTCAAAAGAAGACATTTATGTGGCTAACAAACATATGAAAAGAAGCTCATCACTGGTCATTACAGAAATGCAAATCAAAACCACAATGAGATACCATCTCATTCCAGTTAGAATGGCAGTCATTAAAAAGTCAGGAAATAACAGAACCTGCAGAGGATGTGGAGAAATAGGAACACTTTTACACTGTTGACGAGAGTGTAAATTAGTTCAACCATTTTGGAAGACAGTGTGGTGATTCCTCAAGGATCTAGAGCCAGAAATACCATTTGACCCAGCAATCCCATTACTGGGTATATACCCAAAGGATTATAAATCATTCTACTATAAAGATACATGCACATGTATGTTTATTGCAGCACTGTTCACAATAGCAAAGAGTTGGAACCAACCAAATAACCATCAACGTTAGACTGGACAAAGAAAATATGGCACATGTACACCATGGAATACTATGCAGCCATAAAAAATGAGTTCATGTCCTTTGCAGGGACATGGATGAAGCTGGAAACCATCATTCTCAGCAAACTAACACAAGAACAGAAAACCAAACACCGCATGTTCTCACTCATAAGTAGGAGTTGAACAATGAGAACATATGGGCACAAGGAGGGGAACATCACACAGTGGGGCCTGTCAGGGGGTGGTGGGCAAGGGGAGGGAGAGCATTAGGAGAAAAACTTAATGTAGATGACGGGTTGTTGGGTGCAGCAAACCACCATGGCACATGTATACCTACATAACAAACGTGCACTTTCTGCACATGTGTCCCAGAACTTAAAGTATAATTTAAAAAAGAGAAAAAAAATAAAATAAAATACCAAAGTGGTCAATAAGAAACAAAAATTTAACTCCTGATTGCTTGATGAATTGGGAATGTGATAAGAGGTAAGGCTGCCCTTCAGTATGGGCAGATCAAGAGTTGTCACACTAAGGAGACTATTCTGCCTAAAATTCTGTGTTACTATTTTGTATTTAAGTATGCTGGTATATTAAAAGTGTACATGTTTGAAAAAAAACAGCAACATAAAATCTGACTTTTAGGTTCTAAGATAGACACTAAAGAAGAAGGCTGATCGCTCAGAAAGTCCTATTTTCCTTTACAGATCATTTTCCTTCTTCTTCTTTTTTTTTTTTTTTTTTTTTTTGTTGTTGTTGTTTTTGTTGGGAGCCCACTGCAGACTTTAGCAGCCAAGGGAGAACTACCCCACTCTCCCAACCTCCTTAGAGACTCTATTTTTTAAAAAACATTCCCCAGCTAATCCCTGACCTGGTTTGCATGATCAACTGGGCACACATTCTAAGGTCTGTGAGGAAGTTTGTGTACAATGGCTGTTTCACAATCCCATTTCATTAAAAGCAGGCAAGCTCTGTTTAAATAACATTTCTGGTCCACTCACTATTCTTGGAGGCACAAGTGGCTGTCTCGATGTGTAAATGGATGTGTCAACACCAGGAAGAGTAAATGTTTGGGTGTTCACTACAAGTCTTTGCTTTGGACATTGCTGTTGTTTGCAGAAGACCCATAGGGCAGAGAGGCAGATTTCATAGCAGCAGCTTAGGATTTCACAGTGGCAAATGACTCTGATGATGTATTATGACACACACCCCATACATGCGAAGTTATGACTGTTTACATTTTAAAATATATGGGATATTTTTCTATGTTAATCATTTAATTTTTCACACCTTCTTTTCATGGTCTTTATGTTACCTAGGCTTGGAAGTGATGCCACTTGTTTTTATTTTTTTAATCAGTATCGTTTTCTTCCTTAGACATAAAAACACATCAAGGTAGCTTTTGTAGCCTTCTCATTCTAACTAATGTCCGCAGAGGACCCCAGCCAGCAACATCTTTTGATGTAGTGATGTGCAGAAATAGATCATTGTCTCCAAGCATTATTTAAATCATTCAAAAATCTTCTATATAAAACTGCAATTTAAACTCCAGAAAGTTCACTTGGAGTAACAGAAAGACTAAGTTAGAAACAGACAAACCTGAGTTCTAATCATGGTTCTGCTACAGCCATAGTCATGGTTCTGCTAGAGGCATAGCCTAGAGAAGACTTCATGAGCTCAGATTTCTAACTTGTAAAATGAACTAGCTAAATAGATGAACTCTAAGATCCTTTCTAGCTCAAAATTGTATCAAGTGAATTCTTGGTGTCTAAAAGAAACTTGCCCTTATTAAAAGTATCAATTCTACCCAAATTAGCTTTCATTCGTTACATTTAAACTATTCCTTTGTATATGGTGTTAAAATAGGAAATTACTAAATTTGTTTGCAAAGATCCAAATATCATTTCTCTATGCAGTTTGACTACTTTAATGTGAAAATAACTTGCAGAACTGCAAACTGCAGAGGAAGTCAGAGTTCATAGAAAATCTCTTGCCTTCTTTTAGGACCTTCTGCTCAGAGTGTGTTTTTAGAGTTAGGCACTTCACCATCTGAGGCAAGAAAAGAAAGAGAAAGCAACCTAATCAAATAGAAAACTCTGAAAAGAACTCTTCTTTCATAAATTAGACTTCCTGTTCTTTACTTGAGGATCTGCAGTTTGGACAGAAGCCTTACTGTTTAGTGTAAACTCCCCAACCCCCTTCAGTGAATTTGGGTAGAAAATTAAACATATTTTCCAGGACTGTCACCAAAGTTTCTCCCTTATGTAGCACTGACATTTCTTCAAATCTCCTCTAAATATTATGAGAGAAAGAAGTGGCCTTTTGTTTGGAATGCTAGTTGTGACTTAGGATTATCAGTGAAGCCCCTTTGTTTGGGCTTTATTGAAGCATGTTAACAGCTGTCAGCAATAATACTTGCTCCGCCTGCTGCAACGTGATGTATTGATGTGTATACAACAATATGTTACAAATTGAAATAAAATATGCATTTTTTCATAATTTATCAGCATTATGATGGCACAAAAAAGGCAGTCTTATGAGTAATACAGAGCTCTTCAGCGGGCATTATGTACTGTAGGTAATAAACGCAGCCTCTCCCCTGGACTGCTGGGAGAGTTGTAAAGCAGAATGCATTAGTTCAGCCCTGTGATAATAAATCATTTTAGTATGTCAGTAGGCCCTGGCTAACTTTTACTCCTGAGGTCTGAAAGAATAGTATGCCATACGGCTCTGGATGGTTTCTGAAGTGTTTAGACTGGCTCCGATTCTCCTGGGTAATGTTTTGAGTGAGTGATATGGTTAGATAACAAGTGGCAGTATTTCTCAGGTATCAATATTGTGATGCCTCCTGTTGTTTTATTGCCTGGAGTGGCTGATTTTGTCCTAATTGGAACTGTAGTTCTTCTTTGTATCTCTATTTGCAATATGGTGCAGTGTTTCTTTAAAAAATAGAAGTCGTTCTGTAATACTGTGAAACTGCTCGAAATGGCTTCACCCTGACTCTTAGTTATCTTTGCATGGATGAGAAATCAATAAATCCTCACTGTTGTTATTTTATCCTCTTAAAAATACGGATACCTTTCTAGGAACTGCTTTTCTTGGTACTACAATGGCCGTCGGTTCACCATGACCTCATTTATTTCAAATGGTAGCAACCCAGCCTCATTAGTAGCGAATTTAAATTGATTGTGTAGGATTTAAAGAATTATGTTTATATAAACTTTGTTAAACTATCCAAGCCTTCTGTATGTATTAATTTTTCCTAGGATAACAGCAGGCATAATGGTTTATACATATGTTGACAAGGCCCCATTTTAAATCACTCTTTTGGCTGAGAATACACACCTGAAATTTTAACACATTACAATTTTCTCCTATGGTAACAAAGATCTGAAAAAAAATTATCAGAAATACTAGATGGAAAACAACAGCTGCTCTGAAGGAGGTGAGATGGATATTTCATTTTGGCATTATTTTATTATGTTACAACTGTGTAAATGAATTCTGAACAAAACTTCAGCCCTTTCTTTTTGATGCATAAGATTGCTTCCCAACCCTCTGCTGTCTTGAACTAAGTATCCATATATTAAGTTCATGCTCATCCACGAACAGTTAAGAAAACAGTGATTTGATGCATCCACACAGTACTTTTTACTGCAATGTAATAGTATGACTTATAACTTAAGCTCATTTTAAACATTCAAACTAATTAGAGTCATAAAACTATAATAATAGTACATTTTAATCCACTGGTGTATTAACCAATATGGGTGGAGATGTGATTTTCATACAAAAGACTCTGAACTAGTCCAGAAAAATATATGGATTGAAACAGGTGGGAAATAACAGTTCAGGCTCACTGCTCCTTCATGTCCCTGAAATATAAATGCAGGGACTATTAGCAGCAGCACAACAGCTGAGCTGCATGAAGATGGTCAATTTCTAAGGAAACTAGAATTTATGTAATAGAGGGCCTTTTGGACCACATCAACTTGACTTCATTTTGAAGTAAATATGTAACCAGTGCAGCTTGCAAGGCACGGCATGCTTTCACGCATTTCAAATGGCTTGTGTGTGGCCTCTGTTCTGCCCCAGTGGGTCCTCTGAGCTGGCCCCACAGAAGAG
Source organism: Homo sapiens (assembly GCF_000001405.40). Classification (NCBI taxonomy): domain Eukaryota; kingdom Metazoa; phylum Chordata; class Mammalia; order Primates; family Hominidae; genus Homo; species Homo sapiens. The sequence goes on from NC_000012.12 coordinate 41,289,736, forward strand.
ATTGCTGCAGTCCAATATACAGATTAGGAAATCATGAAGCACTATGGTGACAGCAATTTCAAAGACAGATGCCTTCTGTTTATCTCCAGATTGGGGATAGTGAAGAAAATAGCGGTGCAAAGTTCTTTGCCATTAACTTACCTCTTCCATTTGCTTTGTGAGTGTACCCTAAAGAAGAAAGTGGAATTCTGACTGCATAGTGGATCTCCAGTAATTGTTATGAAAGCCTTGGAAATTTTGACAGCAAGTAGGGCATGCCATCAAATATATAAGCTTAAGGCTATCTACTGATTTGTGAGAAGCCACTGTGTACATAGGAAGTACTGGTGGTGGGCCTTTCCTTTAGGTTCATGTGTAGTTGGAGATTTATTTGATGCTTGAGATCCATTGTGCTTTGGAACAGAATCCTCTTAGCATCCCTACCATAAGCTCAGATGAAAGATGATTTAAAGTACTGTGGTTGGCTAACATGCATTGTTTCTACTTAGGGAAGACAGATTTTTAATAAAAAACTTTCAAAGCAAAATATCAAATATGTTTAATAGGGAATTTTATACCTCATTGAGTGAAGGCTTTTAAAAAATTCTTTGATTCAAAACATCTTTTGTTTGGAAAATAGAAATTCTGAAGCTGGTTGCTCTGTGGAATACACTTTAAAAGAAAAGTTAATAGGTCATTGATTTATCGCATTTTCCAGGAAATTCCTTTTTGCCATTTTATTTAGGAAAATGTAAAAGAAACAGAAAATTCCTTCACATATGTGAAAAAAAATCACCCTTCAGGAAAATTATACATCTTCATACATAGGTGTTCTAGAGCACACACATTCTGATATATATATACAAACACTTCAACTTGGAAGAAAGATCTAGAAAAATACAAAATCTAGTATTGATATTTCTTAATGAGCTTTCATAGAATAATAATTCTGAAATAGACCATGACTAAATCTATGAGGTATAATTTCATATATTTACCCTACTCTCAGAAAAATAGGTATTCAACAATCTTTTGGAGAAGGAATAACCGGTCATTTTTCATGGTCTAATGAGGTATTTATTACCTTTCCTGGGTCTGCCATGAATACCCCCTTTAGAAGTTTCAAATTTTTCATATTCATTTACAAAAATTTACAATTTTCTATGTCTAAGTAATTTGATTCATTTCCTTAAACATTCTTTGAATCCTATATTTATCTCTTTCTAAATTGAACAAAGCATACATTTAAATGAGAGAATGAAAGCCTCCTTTTTAAAGATGTAGGATCTATTTTGTTTGCTTCCAAAGTTGCTTTTTAAAAAAAAATGCTACAATTAATCTTGGGTAATGTAAATTCTAAGATGGAACTTATAAAACACTTTCAAGATGTCTGAATTATGTTATCCATTAGATTATATGTACTTTTTGCACAGATATAATAAAAAGATATAAAAATTTTATTTTACTTGGTTTCTAGGAACATTATGATCACTGAAAGTGTTGAATAATTTCTGAGATATTAGTGATCAGAAACACTATTATTTGTTCTAATAAAAAGTGTTTCTGAAGCATAAGATTTAAATGGAAGGGCCAAGAAAGTCATAACCTTACCTTAAATTTGCTTAGGTGAAGGCCTTCGTGAGCATGGTAGCATTTCTTGGATGTAGCCAGAATTCAGTTTTACCCCTAATTTCTTATTTAGTGGCTATATAAACTTCTATATATACTTAAACTCTCTGAATCTGTTTTATTATCGGCAAATTGGGAATAATGACTTTCAGAGTTTCTGGAAAATTTGAAAGTACTCAATAAATATTATTATTCTTTATTTACATGTCATAAAATCATTATTCATCCTAAGCCTCCCAAAGCCAAGAGTAGCCCTTAAACACAGTAGGTGCTCAATACACTATAGACAGGTAATGTTTATAGTTATTGAGTGAGGCCAGAACTATGTGAGTCTTGGTTTGTTCTCCTCATATGCTCAAGTTTTATGAACAGGGGTTGTGAAGAGAATAAGATTATGAAGGAAATAAGACAGCTTTGGAAACACCATGAGGAGGATCTATGGCAGGGTGGGCAAATCCTGCAGTTATTCTTCTCCATAGAGACCCCCTAATGTAGTCATTTCATTTCCAAGGAGGCACCCCATTACCTCAAACCTGGTACATGAGATGCAACCTTACTAGGAGTCTCAGCACAGGAACCCTGAGTACCAAACTGGGAGGAAGGCAGGACCAGGATAACTGGAAATATACTAGCATTGGGAAAACAGGCTAAAGGATCTGCATCCACCCAGGTTGTGTTTGGCAGTCTTCATCAGAGGTGAATCAATTAATCATCAGGCACACAAGCAACAAACAAAGCATGAGTAGCAGGCGTTAGAGAAAAAAGTGGGTCAGGCATAATAGTTCTTAGGCAAGAAAGAGATGTAATCCATATTTACAACTATGAAGTTATAAATTGCAGTGAACAGAAGGACTGAGGAAAATGGGAAGAACAACAGGTTTAAGCAAACAGCTAGAGAGAGTTGTTCATTCCCATCACAAGGCTCAAAAATCTTTATGAAAGGGGAGAATACCGTTCCAGATCTTGGCCTTCTAAGGATCATTATTTGTAGGAAGAGCTGGTTTCATGTTGCTGGAGAGCACATGTGTGCAGGAAGTGCAGACCAAGAGAAAAAATGGCAAAGGTGCAGAGGTCAGAGAAGGCAGTAAAAGGGCCCTGTAAGAAATGTTCACTTACAAATTTCATTGTGTTTTTGAAGTTACCATTTGAGGTTTTTTCTTGATTTGATCCTTACATTTCAGGACCCCCCTTTGACTGGGTTTGTGCTTCCTTTTGCCACTCGTTTGGGTAGAATTAGTGTCTGGAACCCCAGATAGCCCAGATATTTATTCACTTTTTAAGTACGCATGATATTATCTTGGCCATGCCTGGTAGCATGAGACTTCTTTTTAGTCTTTAAAATGACATTCTAAGTATGCTGAAGCATGCTGCTAATCTGTTGTCTTCATTCTCTAAGGAATTTGGAGAAGAACGTTCACTTTAGTAAGATTCAGCAAACTTGGAAACTATGTCCCAGAGAGTTGTGCATCACACCATTATGAGTAATGTTTTAGACTCTATATTGACAAAATTGGCTAAGGGTTTTAATAAACAACTCCAAATCCTCACTATTATGAAAAGACCAATGTGAATGTTTCTGGTCAGGCAGCTCTCTTAGGAGGCTCTTTTCTGAGATACGGCTAGGAATTCTGGGGTCCTTGCATGCTGTGGCTCCACTAACATCTTGGAGGCACGCGCACCTTGCTTCTGGCTGCTCACTCTGGGTAGGCTGGAAGTGAAAGGGAGATAGGAGGGACGCTGGAGAACAGGTCACTCAGGTTATTTTATGGTTATTTTATGGCCAGTTCTAAAAAAAGTATTTGTGTCTTATACCCACATTCCACCAGCCAGAAGTTAGTCATTGAAGCCCCACCTCAATGCAAGGTGGGGCTCTATGACTAACTTCTGGCTGGTGGAATGTGGGTAGAGGACACGTAATTAATTGTCCTAGGCAATGTAATTTCCCTGGTGCTGACGAGGAAAAAAATATGGACACACATGTAGCATCGTATCTGCCATAGCCTCTATAAAGCTTAGCTCTCTCCACTCAAGTGACTGAGCTAGCTCCTTCCCCACTCCATCCTTTTCTGGCTCTCCCCTACTACCTGCGCTCCTGCTCTGTCAAGAGTCATCACCTAAATAGCCATAAAGCCAGTGGCCCCAACTCTCTCTGCCAGTATTAAGAATGAATGTCAGAGCAAAGTGCCAGCAGTTTGGCAGATTTCCTTAGAATCTTTAACTGTTCTCCTCCTGTTTCGAAAAAGCAAACTCACCATTAATGCATATCCCTGGTATGTTGTACTCCAAGTAGAGGCAGAAATAACTCATCCTGGCAAAAGGAAATCACCCTGGAAATTACCAGAGGATGTGACATGGATTATTTAGTGTAATGGCTGAAGGTGTTTTCAGTAAAATGCAGTGTATGCTGTGTTCCCTGATCCCATTTGTCCTCTTAAAATTAATTTCTGTAGTGTTTCACAGTTACCTGTTTAATTATTCATTCTAGATGTCATGGAGAATGATACAGTACTGCAAAATAAAGCCAATAAAACAAGTTTCTAATGCTAAATATCAAAGCTGGAAAATATGACCATTACAAATAAGCAAGAATCTGTCTTCTCTTTTCATAAGTATTCTACAAAGACATGGCATTCAATAAACAATAGGGTTGCTTGGATTAATTTGAAGATGTTTGCATAAATAGGCTCAGAGTTTTATAGTTATGTTGTTGTGGGGTTTTTGTTTTTGTTTCTTTTTTTCCTCTATAGTTTGTTTGTTTGTATCACAAGAGTACGTGTTTCACAGGCAAAATATTCACCTTAAACTTTCATGCCATTGAAATGTCCCCTTCTCTTTGCAGTGTAGTGTTATGGGAGATGCATGAACTTTCAAAGTCAGGCAGACCTGGGTGCAAGTCCTGCCTTTAACACCCTCGTTGTGCAAGTCACTTGCCATCTCACAGGCTGTTTCTCACCTGTAAAATATACTTCCCAATATTATTATGTGTATGAAACTAAGTACTGTAGAACAAAATTTGAATTTAGCACACTGACTTGCCTCTTTCTTAAGAAGAGATTAATTTCTACTAATAATTTTATATGAACTATAAATGACAAGGTTGATTTCAATGGATAAAAATATAAGAAGAACAGTGTGAAAACTGCGAGGACTTTATGAAGACTCTTAAATGAGGGAAGGGAATTCATTCATTTTAAATATTTAACATTTAAAATTATTTTACTTAAAATAGTATAACAAAGAGAGTACTTTGAAACTAAGTTTCTTTATTAAAATAGAATAGATTACAACTCTATTACCTTAAATATTACCTCTTTATACCTGAGCTCAACGAATCACATTTCATCATGAAAATACTTAGAAATTAAGGCAGAGCTTTGCATACTATAAACAGGATTACAAAAACAATTTTCTAAAGTCCTATTGTAAATCTGGAAGATAAGGTTTAAGAGATCTAAGAGATCTTTTCAACAGAAAAACATAGAAGAACAACTCAGGAGGCTAAATATCCTTATCATAAATTCTAAAAGGAGAAAAATTAGAAAATGGGGGAAATTATCAAGTAAATGAACAAAGAAAATTTCATAGAGCTGAATAGAGACATGAATCTTCTTCAAAGAGCCCAAAGTTTTCTAGAAAGGGAAATGTGGTCATAGACATGTAAAAAAAAAAATCGCAGTAGCTCTGATTTCTCATCAGTACCACAGCAGAGACAATGGAGCAATCCTTTCAAATTTTGAGAGGTAATGTTTCAAACTGGAATTCCATACCCAGTCAAGATGTCTTTAAATGATAAGGTCAAAATAAAGACAATTTCAGAAATTCAAGAACTTCAGAAGTTTATCTTCTACTCACCCTTTGTGAAGAAGTCACCTGAAGGTGTACTCTGGCCAAACCATCATGAAAATTAAAAAAAGGATTTGAGATACAGGAAACACTGGAAACAATTCATTGAGGTCAATTACAAAGAGTTCCCATATTGTCATCAAATCAAAAATAGTCCCCAATTTCAGAAAATGTAAAACAAAGAAAATATAAATTGATTTAACTCAAAGATAAAATTACTAAGAAGCTAGAAATTGTTAATTTTGAAGGCATTTTTTTTTCTCTGCAGGACAAAAGAAAGGTAATTAGGAAAGTCAGAAAAAGAACAAATACACAGAAATGCACTATCCCTATATCACCCCCTCACCAAAATTAAACAGTCAAAAACTCCATAAGAAAATAATGGCCTAAATATGAGAGGGATCTTCAAAAAGTTCTTGGAAAATCTGTATTATGAAAAAATTATGGATGGATTTCAAAATTTTTGGCCACAAAATAAGCTCATATGAATGTGATATAACATGTCTGAACAGGATCTAGTTTGAGGTACTATGAAGGGTAAGACATCAGTTTCAAAAGAGACCCTATCAGAGCAGCACGAATTCTACTGAAATTGAAGCAAAAACAAACATCAAATGTACGGTAAAGCTTGGGTGGAAGAATGGTGAAATTATGGATGCTTTGCAAAAAGTTTATGGGGACAATGCCCCAAATAAATCAGCAGTTTACAAATGGATAACTTTTTTTCAAAACAGATGAGATAATGTTGAAGATGAAGCCTGCAGGCACAGACCATCCATTTCCTCAAAAATTAAATTTTTTGAGGAAAAATTTCATCTTGCTTGTGCCATAATTGAAAAGGATCTATGGTTAAAAGCAGAAACAATAGCCCATACCATAGACATCTCAACTAGGTCAGCTTATGCAACTCTGGCTAAAAAAAGTTGAGCAAATTTTCCACCTGATGAGTGTCAAAATTGTTGCACCCAGATCAGCTGCAGACAAGAGCAGAGCTTTCAACAGAAATTTTAAACAAGTGGGATCAAGATTCTAAAGGATTTCATTAAAGAACTGTAACAGGAAATGAAACATGGCTTTACCAATGCAATTCTGAAGACAAAGCACAATCAAAGCAATGGCTACCAAGAGGTGGCTGTGGTCCAGCCAAAGCAAAAGTAGACAGGTCAAGAACAAATTTCTTGGCAACATTTTTGGGGGCTGCTCAAGGCATTTGGCTTGTTGACTTTATGAAGGGTCAAAGAACAGTAACTTCTTCTTATTATAAAGGTACTTTGAGAAAGTTAGATGAAAGTTTAACAGAAAAATTCCCAAGAAAGCTTTCCTCTTTCCTAGAGAATCCTTCTCTACCATGACAATATTCCTGCTCATTGCTTTCATCAACAAAGGGCAATTTTTCAAGAGTTTTGATAGGAAATCATTAGGCATCCACCTCACAGTCATGATTTGGCTCCTCTTCCTTCTTTTTATTTTCTAATATTAAAAAATCTGTAAGGCTGGGCATGGTGGCTTACACCTGTAATCCCAGCAACTTGGGAGGCTGAGACAGGAGGATCACTTGAGCTCAGGAATTCGAAACCAGCCTGGGCAACATGGCAAGACCTTATCTCTACAAAAAATACAAAAATTAGCCAGTCATGTGGCGTGTGCCTGTAGTCCTAGCTACCAGGAGGCTGAGGTGGGAGGATCACTTGAGCCCAGGAGGTTGACACTGCAGTGAGCCATGATCATGCCACTGCACTCCAGCCTGGGCAAGAGAGCAAGACCCTGACTCAAAAAACAAAAACAAAAACAAAATCTGTAAAGGGCATCAATTTTTCTTCAGTTAATAGTGTAAAAAAGACTACACTGATGTGGTTGAATTCCCAGGATGTTCAGTTTCTTAGGGATGAACTAAACGGCTGGTAACATCACTTATAAATGTGTCCCGAACTTGATGGAGTTTATGTTGAGAAGTAAAATTTCTGTTTTTTAATTTTCATCTTTTAATTCCATTTTCCACAAACTTTTTGAAGTCCCCTTGTATAACAAACCAAAATATATCATACTTTTGAGCAGTTGATGGAATGTAAGGAAAAAAACATTTAATTATAATACTAGGATATTTTAATTTTAAATAGGACAGAGACAATAACATTGGACTAAAATAAATTTTTTAAAATCTGATAGAACAAATGAAATCTTTAACCCAGGGGATAATGTATTTCAAAGGCCCTAGTTCTGGCCCTGGTCCTGTCCCTGACCCCAGCTTCACTATGTGTCCACAGGAGTGCTTTCACTGGTGCTGTGACTTTTTACAAGCTCATGTATAAACTAAGGCCTGTTCTCTGAATCTTATTTTGAACTAGTTCTGACACCATTAAAATTGAGGGCAGACAGTAAACTAGTGCTGGCTGGCCTAAAAGGTGCTAGGACATTGAAAAATGGTTCGTTAAGATGTAGCCTGTTTACCAAGTGCCACTGGAGGGACATATAAAATATTCCTCTTCAGTGGAAAGGGGAGAATCTTTCCTTCCTCTTCCTTCTCCAGCCAACCCCAGTGGAAAACAGCTCTCTATAACTTGTGCCCTAAGCCCTTGTCCATGTGATTCTCAAGCACTCAGTCATTTAGTTGGGGTAAAAGAACACAAAAAATTAACCAAACTGACTATTAGGCTAAAAAAGAAAATGTGATATTTAATTATAGTCATCCTCTAAGAGACACAAGAATCCAGAATGGAGAGGAAGATCGATTAAAACAATTTCTAAGCAACCTAGAGAATCCCCTGTTTTAGACTTAGTGCTGTATTAACACAGTGACAGCTTTGAAATCTCCCAAAGTAAATTTGTAACTGTTTTTCCATTATCCCTTTCAGACTCCATTCCTAGTCTGTCCTACAGAATACAGAAACCAATTTATATTTTCTAGTCTAAACCTATGTTTTAATCTTTAATGATCATTTTTATATTATAGAAACAATGTCAGAAATTAAAATTCCCAATAATCTTACCCCAGGGAAAATACTATTAACAGTTCTTAATATATATGTTAATATATAGGTCAAATATATTTTAAGAATTGAACTTCGAAATTACTCCCAGTGATAATTTGTAGTGCTTGAAGATTATTTTTGCATATTCTCACATTTTGCTATTTGTATGTTATACATTCTTTCCCTGTTTTCCAGGCTGAGAATGTGCTATTCTGGTTGAATAATCCTGCATTAATAAATCTGAAGACTTAACGATACCAAAGCTGCGTTGCCAGTCAAATTTGCTTTTTGTTTTTAGATATCTGCATATACTTCATCCCCTGTGATACTAGTGTACAGATTTTTAGGTTTCATTTTATTTGTTTTATGAATTTTTAAAAATGATATGCTTTCTGTGGTAAATTTCTTTATAAATTACCTGATTTGGATTGGATGAGAAAAGCTGTCTAATGGAGCTAGGATATAAATTAGAATGAAGTTCAATGTATAAATTAAGGCCTATTTGCTGAAGCTTATTTTAAATTAGTTCTGATACCATTAACACTTCCAATACCATTAAATGAGCCAAACAGGTGAAATAGAACAGTACAGTATCTCCTAGAAAGAAATATAAATGTTCTAGATTATAATTAACATTTGAATTTCTATTATTTATTGATTAATAAGATTTGGGGAGAATATTCTTTTTCTTTGAGAAAGCAACATATACCCCTTCTACACTTTAAAGTGGTTTAGTGGTGATCAGTTCTCTAAGGATTCACTCTCTCATTGCTGTTAGAGCCCCAACAATCTGTTGTGTGATCACTGCATCCCCCTTTGGCCTTGTTTTCTAATTCCTATTATTCTGTGGCCCTTTTTTTCTGATGTCATCCACAGAGTGCTGTCTCAGACACTAATGCAAGAGTTGCTCCATGCATTCTTCAGTTAGAGCAATAAGCAGGCAGTGAGCCTAGGTTCTTGGAGGAATTCTTCATTTTACAACATTCTAGGGCAAATAATTATTAAAAATAAAGAGAGCTGGCCATTTTCTCGAGCTGCTTTAAGCCCTAAAAATAATCAGTCAAAAACTTTCTCTGAAATGTTCTTGTTTTTGGTTTCAGAGAGTAAAATGAGAGAGAGAGAGAGAGACAGAAATTAAAAGTTTCTGCAATTAAGCCTTGGTCTGGACACTCTTTCTCAATGAGTAGAGTTAGATTTTTCCTCTCTTTTGTAATCCAATTAAATCATCAAGATTTCTTGAATCTCAGAATGCTTCTGTTGGACGCACAATTTGTGTGTAGTTTATTTTAATTATTGGTTCTGAGTTCACATCCAAGTTGATGCTAGCTATTTTCTTGCCCAGAATTCATTTATTTTATAATCCCCTGTTTTTTTAGGCTTAGATGACACCCTTATAATATTTATAGTGACACTGTTCAGAGACAAAATTGCTATTCCCTTTTATCTGCTCGTTCTTCTAGAGTAAAACTTTCAGAGTAGTTGTTCAGGTAATAAAATTATTTTAATTTAATTTTATGGGAAACAACTGTAAATAATCCTACTATGTTTTTACTTTATAAAATTGAGTTAGTTTTCAAAGCATATTTCACTGTGTATTTGTGTTTCACAAGAACAGACTCAGCAATTTCAGTCACTAAAAGCCATTTAAGTATATTTATATATTAAGATATTACACAAGTTATTTTTTATCTTTGTACTGCAATAACAGTTGATAGATAATACTATTTTATGATGCTTTCATGAACAAAGTTTCTTTCAAAAATACATGCATGTCACCATCCCCTATTAAAAATAGACTTAGTGCATATATCTTTATTCAACTGTTTATCTATTTTGATCTCTGAGTGTCTTCTACCAGTATTATTCCAAGATAAATCTTACAATATTTATGAATGTATAGATGTATTTATTTGTGTCATATTTTATATAATGTATATTGTTATGTCATCTTTAGGTATATATTACTGATAAGTACATTCTAAAACGGAAAATACTATGTAACAATGATAGCAGTGTTACATTGCTTTTGCATAGCTCTTTTAGCTACTCTTTTAATATACATTTACTTTTGTCTTCCAAAAATCTTCTGAAATAAGTGTATTTATAATTATGCAACTTTGTTTTTGAAAACAAATGTACTATGTCAGTAAGTGATATGCCAAAGTCCCAACTCCTGATAAATTTAGTACTACAATTAACACAGTTTTCCTGAATCACAGTTCAATAATGTTTCAAATACAGATATTAAATAACAGAACTAAAATAACTCTTAATTATATTTTGAGATATATATGTATAACATTTTTATGTGAAACAGTTTAATAAACTGTCTGGCACACCCAGAAATGTGCCCAATTAAAATCAAACACATATTAGAAATATTTCATAATATGTAGGTTTTATTTTTTCCCTTGTGGTCATTATCTCTTCTTTGAGAAATGACCTCTAATAAAGATACTCATTCGGCCTCAGGATATGTGTACATTAAGGAAATAAAAACCTCAAGTGTTCTCCCTATTATATCCATAAGATATTTGTCAAATATCCCTAGGGCCTTTCACATACTGGTCAGCTGTACCCAGAGATCATTATGAAAACTTTCTGTAGTTTTACAATATAACTTTGTGATTTTTCAGAGCTATTATATCTTCTAAGACTTCCTTGTGTTTTATGGAAAGCTTCAGGGAAAATAAATATGTCTTTCTAGACCCAGAACTTGAAATGACAGTGGACTCAAGAGATCAAGGTTATCAAAACAGGAGTTCTGTGTTATGGCTTCTGTTTATCTGCAGGAAAGCAGCCAAGGTGAAAGGGGTTGTTGTTATTTTTAAAGTACTGGATTATCTATAAGGGGAATTTCTTATCATTATAGATTATTTTTGTTTCCAATTCTAAATGTTGACCTTATTTTTGATATCATCTCTGTCCTTTGACAGTTATTAGCTTATAGATGATTGCTGGGAAATATCCCCAAACTCATACACTCTTTAGGTTATTGTGAATATTTGGCTGTTTGCTTTCAAAGGGGGATGGGGGAAGAGGCAGAAACGATGAGAAAGGAAACACAGACAGACATCATGCCCATTTGAATATATTCTTTTCTTCCAGATACGCACTGTGAGGATTTCTAGTGTTTTACATTTAATACATTTAGCTTTTCTCAAATTTTCAATATTTGAAAATTCCCTTTGTTATTCTGCAGAACAGTGGAATAACTGTATTATTGCCATGATGAGGACTGTTGTTTCTATTTTAGGTATGTAGCAAATGAAATATGACTATGAACAGATTTCATGATCTTTACATAAGATATAAGGATATAAGGATAAGACATAAGGATATAATCCTTATAGAAGAATGAAGTCACATTATTGGGATTCTATGTCTTCCTGTACATAATTCAGAAGTTTTTAATATCTCACTAAATTCAAGAGCTTATTGCAGTTAATCATACTACATATTATAACCCCCCAAAAAAGATAATGCTAAATCTAACAGCTATTTTATAAGCAATGCTTTCCAAACAACTTTTTTTTTCCTTTTCACTGTGGCATAGCAAGAGAAAACAAGGTTAGTTAGTGGCTGGCAGAATTTAGGTATCAGGATGCCTGGCACCAAAATACGGATGGAAAGAGCCTGGGATTTGCTTGAGTCTCACAATTCTAGATTTGAGATCAAACCCTCATAATTTTAGCCATGTGGTCTCAGGCAAGTTATTTTGCCTTCTTGAATCTCACATGTCTCATCTCTGAAAGTGACCTAGTATTAATTTTCAAATCTGTTGATGTCATTATATGAGATAAAGCATTTTAAATATCCATCCCAAGTCCATAATATAGTATTGGTTAAATAAGCTTTTCTCCTCTGTTTTCAATTATAACATTAATAGAATATTTCATATAACATTTGTGTATGTGTGTATGCTTGTGTGTATATGTGTCTGATTATATATGTGCATATGCATACACACATGTGTGTATATAGATGTTTATATGTGTGTATATTTTTGTATGTACATACATACAGAACTACTCAGAATATTTAGACTGACCTCAAATATAACATTTCTTTGAAGTTTGTTTAATCTTAAAAATTTGTGTACTTTTGTATTTCTACATTATTATATATTTTATTATTAAAATCATATAGCCACAATCACCACTTGTTAAAATGAAACTGTCCACTCCAAAAGATAATATTGATATTGTAGCTTCTTGTGCATTTTGTTCACCAAAGTATATCCAAGGGAAGGGGTGTACACCCCAGTTTTTAAAATACAACATCAAGTGATATTTCCAGGATGTTTTGTGTGCAGAATTTTTCTTAAGATATAATGATGTACAGGATTAAAGATGTAAGGATACTATTGAGAACCACATGCTCTTTATATACCTCTCATAGACACTTAAATTGTTCTCTAGGGAGTGGGTAATAGAATCAGATTCATAATCCGGAAAGGAAGTTAAATTGTTTCATTCATGCTGAATTTGCACAGTGCGTTTTGGGAAGTTTCTTTATATTGTTAAAAATTCTTCATTTATTCAATGAGATGTCACAGCCTTGTAGAAATGTTTTCTGTATGTCATTTTTTATAACTCTTAGTTTATCAATTGTTAATTTTGCACTCCTCCCCCATCCATAATGGATGACATGAGATGTACCTAATCTAAGTGAACCTTAGAATCTAAGGGTACCCTAAAGGGTAAATCACATTATAAATTTTTCTGTCCAGGAGAATACTATTTTAGTCCTGTCCTGATTTCATATATATATATAAAATACACACACACACACACACACACACACACTCACACACACACAAACATACACTACTCAGACACTCTTGTGTTGAAAATCTAAAAGCTACAAGTGTTTAGTCCATAATACTGGCCCTAGTACTGATAGAGTGGAGTCAGTGAGCCGTGGCACACATGATCTGAAGAATTACCCACTAGAAGCACATGATCTCATGGCAGGATAAAGACGGTCTTCAGGGAGACTCCACAGTAGTTACAATGATTACTACAAGCCTTCTATTTTTATAATGTTGTCAGTGTTGGCCAGTAAATCAGTAAAACCACCAGTCAGACCATGCCCTCGGCAAAATATGATGTGGCATAATTACAAAGGAGATTTTTAGAGAAAACCCTCCTGAGTCCTTTGAGCTAAGTGCCTAAGGGTGATTTCCAGCTAGCCTGTGGTTTGATCACAGTTATGTATGATCTCATGCCTACGGGCTTCGCAGAAGTTTTCTCTATCTATGAACCATATTCTAAAACTTTTGCATCTCTGCATAGGCCAAAGGCTACATACATCTAATTATAAAAGATGATGTTTAGAAATAAAAATACTGAAGAACTCGCCTCTTTCCTCTGGAAATCTCACATTCAGTTAGGTTTCCACAAGACTTCATCTAGCTAAGCACTCAATATATATTGTGTTTTATTTAAATGTTGGAGGAGCTATGTCTGATTTGTCATCATCTTGCTTACTTGAAAATAATGCCAATACTGTCAGTATTCGAGCATGTGATTGAAAAGATTCTTGCAGACCTGTGGCATGCACCTAGGCTTCCACATGTCCACCAAAGGCTGGTTGCCTTCAATTATGTGCTCTTGCTTTTTCAGACTGGCTAAAATCTGAGTATGCTCAGAGTTCTGGATACATTAGGGGGCAGATTCTTTATTGTCACTCTGTGTGACTGCAGAACTGGGGAGGTTGTTTATCACAGACATGCAAGTGCATGACCTCAGCTTTTTTAATTCATTTGACTCTTGTTTTAGTACCTACTGTGAACAAGACACAAACTCTGGGCTCAAAAATCTCATGCTCTAGGTAAGGAACACAGACATATAAAGATATTATGAGACTAGAGCAGCTTTCCCTGAGGAGGTCAGAAAATCCTTCACAAAACATGAAAAATTCTGTCTTGAGGGATATATGGGAATTTGCTGGGTAGAGAAAGAGAGGAAATGCATTCTGGTGGCATATAGTCTCAAAGCATGGAAGAGTATGCTGTTTACATACTTTCGAGTTTACAAAGTGCTTTCCTATATGTCATATGCTTTAATCATTCACTAGCTTTGTATGATATCAGATCAAAAGGAGTTAAGTGATTATGCAGTCACCGGAATAATAGGTATCAGACTAGAGTTTGAATTAATCCATTTCTTCCTTGACTTAGTGCTTATCTAAATCCAAAAACTAAAAATAAACCTTGATTTAGTGCTTATCTCAAAGCAATGTTTCTCAAACTGTTTTTTAAATTATCTTCACCTATGAAGCTTTTTCCAAACTTTCCCCCACTCAGTGCTCTCTTCCCAGGAATTTCAATACCTCAGATATATCATATATTTGTTTTTGTTTGTACTTCAGCCTTTTGGAGGGCCACAAATCATTGTAAGAGCTAAGATTTCTTCAACGCCTTCTTAAGAAACAAGTTTTGCTACACTGAAAGTGATATCAACCCCAATGAGAATGCATGCTTTAGAGACATTCTGCCAAATGCTAGAGATATAAAAATGAATAGGATATGGTTCCCTTTTTAAGTAAACTCAATGACTAATGGATAAGAGATGCAAGCAAACAAATCATTTCAATAGAGAGTAGTGAATGCAACAATAGAAGAATGCAGCAAGCACAGAATGCATGACATTGCCTTCCACTTTGGCTGAGAGCAGTTAGAGGAGATGTCACAAACTTCCTTCATAAACATACTACATAACTGCATACTGCATAACATACTTCATAAACATACTACATGGTTGGGTCTTGCAGTATGGGAATATGACTATTAGGTGGGCTAAAAAGAGCACAGCATTGCAGACAGGCAAGAATAGCAGATTAAAAGGCAAAGGTGGTGTAGCAGCTGGGCCAGTTTTGGAGTCTGCAAAGAAGTTAGGAGAGGAGAGACTGGGAGGTATTGGGCTCATGACATAAACTGCGAGAACAGACTTGCAGTAGAGGGGTGACATTATCAGTTTTGTGTTAGAAAAATCATTCGGGTGTTTTGCTTCCTATTCAAAGTGGCTGAGGAAAGCCAACACGTTTCACTCTTTTCCCTCCTGCTAAAATACTGTTGAACTTACACACATACAACAAATCTACTGCATCATTGGAAACCTGGATGGATGCCATTAGTAAACCAGAAACAGTGAGAAAACTTGGGAAGACTTGGGAAAACAAGTGGACTAAAACACTTAGAACAGTGCCAAACATGCAATAAGTACTATTAAGTGTTAGTTATTTATGTCAATCAACTCGAGTGACTATAATAAAATACCGTAGATTGAACAACTGATGTGTATTTCTCACAATGCTGGAGGTAGGGAAATCCAAGATCAAATTGCCAGAAGATTTGGTATCTTGTGTGGGCTGCCTTGTAGGTGGGTCCTATATGGCAAAGGTAGTGAGGGAGAGAGGTCTCTTCATCTTCTTACAAGGGCACTAACCCCACCATGGTCACTCCATCCACAGGACCTCATCTAAACCTAATTACCTCCAAAAAGCCCTACCTCCAAATACCATCACATTGAAGATTAGGTCTTCAGCATACACATTTGTTTGTGGGGGGACATGAGCATTGAACCAATAGCATTCTTTCCCTGGCCCCACAAAATTTGTGTCCTTCTCATATGTAAAATACATTTGTTCCATCTTGACAATGTTAAGACAAATGTCTTAATTATTCCAGCATCAACTTTTAAGTCTAAAGTCCAGAGTCTCATCTAAATATCATCTATGTCAGATATGGTTGAGGCTCAAGGTACAATTCCTCTGGAAGCAGAATTCCTCTCCAGCTATAAACCTGTGAAACTAGTAAGTCATGTGTTTCAAAAACACAATAGTGGGACAGGCATAGTACAGGCATTCTCATTCCAAAAGGGAAAAATCAAAAGGAAGAATGGGTCCCAGATAAACCTGAAACTTAACAAGGCAAATTCCATGAGATCCTAAGGATTGAGAACAATCATTGGTTTAATACTCAACCCTCCAGGCCCACTAGGGTGGCAACATTGTCTCCACAGCTCAGGGAGCCACCCCTCAAGCGGTGGCTCTCTGTGGTAGCCCTGGCTATACCATGGCTCTGCTGGGCAGGGACTACACCCTCATGGCTCCAGGCAGCCCTGCCCCATGGCTTTGACCAGAGACTGTTGGGTCTGTTGAAACTGAGGTAGTGGCCCTGATGATCTCTGAATTGCCTTTGGGGCCATTCTTTCCTTTTCTTGAAAAATAGTACAAATTTGTAGCTGAATATTTTTATTGCCATGTCCTGTACAGTCAAAGAAGTCTGACAGCCATCCTTCCATTCCATCTCCCTCCATCCCCTTCAGTTCTAGCTGGCAATGTTTCGACTGGGGTGGGTGATTCGGTCCATAGTTCACAACTCTACTAATCTTTGTATCCAACGGTCAGTCAGTCACAACCTTACTGTTCTTTTCTGAACATGCTTTCTCATTTTTTGCAATACAGATAGGCCGAGAATTCTCCAAATGTTTAAGTTCTGGTTCCTTTTTGCTTAACAATTTCTTCTTCAATTCATTTCTCTCTTCTTGAGTTTTGCTAGAAGCAGTCAGGAGAAACCAAGCCACTCCTTCAACACTTTCACTCCCAAGTTCTGCCTTCCACAAAACACTAGAACACAAAAACAATTCAGCCATGTTCCTTGCCTCCATATAATGAGGATCACCTTTTCTTCATTGTCCACTAAGATACTCCTCATTTCCATCTGAGACCTCCTCAGAACAGCTTTTACCATTTACATTTCTACCAACATTCTGTACATGATTATTTTCATATTCTCTAACAGATGAAAGCTTTCTCTCCAGCTCTCTCTTTCCTTTCTGAGTCCTCATCAGAATCACCTTTAATAATCCCTTTATGGCAACCCTGACATTTTCTATCATGCACCTTGAAATGAGCCTGTATTCATTACCTAGTTCCAAAGCTGCTTCAAAATTTTTTTCAGTATTTGTTATAGCAGCACCCTATTTCTCAGTACCAATTCCTATCTTATTCTGCTTGGGGTACCACAGCAAATACCATAGACTAGGTAGCCTAAACAAAAGATACTTATTTCTCACAGTTCTGCATGCCGGGAAGTCTGAGATTAGGGTGACAGCATGGTTGAGTTCTGGTGAGGGCTCTCTTCCTGGCATGCAGATGGCTGCCTTCTCATTCTATATCTGTACACTACCTCTTCCCATGACCTTTCTTTGATGAGTGCTCAGGGCAAAAGAGCTCTGTCTCTCACTTGTTCTTCTTAAAAGGGACTAATCCCATCACAAGGGCCCTACCTTCATGGCCTCATTGAAACCTAATTACCTTCCATAGGCCCCACCTGTGAATACCATCACACTGGAGATTAGGGCTTCAACATAGGCATTTGAGAGGGCCATAAGTAAAGCAAAAGATGAGGAGATCCTTACATGAAGAAGGAACTTTGGAGAGCCAGATTTTTTTTTTTTTTTTGGTAAACATTTATTTGTATTATACTACAGCAGCTTCACAAAATGTGGTATTTTTTTCTTACCACATTTCTTCCAGAACAATCTTTTCACTCTTGATTACATGTGATATCCACTCTTGATTACATATGAAAACATATTTGGTCAATTTGAAATCATAATACTTTACACGTACTGATACCTTGTGATGTGTCAACCATTGGTATAATAGGTATGTTTTATAGATATTATTTCATCTAATCTATACATCACTTCTGTGAGATTATTGCTGTTATATTGCCCACTTTATATATGGAACAAAAAAACAACAACTTTATATATGGAAGAAAAAGCAAAAACTAAAGCTTAGGTTAAGTACTTTTCTCAAGTACCTGCAGTTATTAAGTGGTTGAATTTAGAATCATGACTCCATAACCATAGCCCTTCAATATCTGTAATTCTGATGTATATATATTATTATTTTCTAACATTCTAACATCAAAAAATAATTTTTTACTTAAAAATTCATAACTTTTCTGTATTATTTTTAGCTATTAACATTTTTCCCTTTACCTTTTATTAAGGTAAAACTAAAAAAATACTTCTGGCCTCATTGATAATATACGTGTTTTTGAGAAATGGAAAAGGTAAAAGCATTAGTATTTATTGTCTGTCACTAGGTACAAGACCCAGCAGTGGACTCTTTCCTATATCCTCTCATTTAATTTGCACCTTGACTTGTGACGTGACATTAAGATCCTTAAATATCGGTTGAGGAACCTGAGATTTGAAGATGTATAATTCTCACTTTTTTATATCGCATTATTCATATGTGTAAAAAATGTTTACCTTAGCATTCTTTGTTTGAAAAAAGTGAGTCAGTTGGAAACTAGATTACAACGTCAGAAGCAAGAAGTCTCAGGAAGCAATACCAAAGATGAAATCCTGAGACAATCTCAAATTCCAAACTGAGCACTAGAAATAAATCTCATATTGTCAACTTGATTGTCTTTATAAATAGGAAAAAGAGAGGTTTAGACAATGGCAAATGTCAAATAACCCAAGAATATATTTATATCTGATTTTAAAAGCTTTGGGGTATGTGTTTGTGTTCAAAAAGAGCATGTACTTATATTTGAATACTTAAGTGACAAATATTCTGGAAATTGTTTTTGAGGAAAAGAGTTTACCCAGTGAAGTTAGATTCATATTGTTTGTTTTTATACCTTACACAGTATTCTGGGAATAAAGAATACTATTCATTATTTTCTTCCTAAGAAACCATTATGCAGAATGTGATTTATCACATTCATAAATACGCTTATAATAAATTACCTCAATATATTTTATGTTCACATTTCCATTTGGGAAAAAAAGCTTATATTCCTATTTAAAATTATACATAAAATAACTTCCAGAAGGATTAAAGACCCAAAATGAGAGACCTAGATTAAAGACCTACAATACTCCCCTCAAAAACAATACTATAAAAGTACTAGAAGAAAATATAGGATCTGATGTTTCATATACTTTCAGTAGGGAAGGCCTTCCTAAGTACCACAAGAAACCTAACTTGAAACTTGAAATTTCTAAAAATAAAAGTAACCGTCTCAGTCAGTTTTGTGTTTGCTATAAACAGAATACCATAGACTAGCTAATTTGTAATGATCAGAAATTTATTGACTCACAGTTCTGGAGGCTGGATAGTCTAAAATTGAGGGGCCAGCATCTTGTGAGGCTTTCTTGCTGTGTCATTCCATGGCAGAAGGACTGAGAGGGAAAGAAAAAGAGACAGAGAGAAAGAGAAGGGGGCTGAACTTGTCCTTTTATAAGAAACCCTTATAAAGTCTGAGATAACAGCATTAATCCATTCACTCCACCCTCACGGCCTAATCATCTCTCATTAGGCCCCACCTCCCAACATTGTTGCACTGAGAATTAAGTTTTCAACACATGCTTTTTTGGGAGACATAGTCAAGGTAACTATAAGTAATATTAAAGTTAAAAATATGACTGTTAGAAACTATCTGCATGATAAATAACAGGTAAAGTTAATGGCTGTAATATGTAAAGCCTTGATATAAATAAATAAATAAATAAGAAAAAGTTAAACGATCCAATAGAAAATGAGGCAAAGCTAGCAGCATCAGGTAATACTGAATAACGGTAAAAAAATATTTTTAAAAAATACTTCACACTAATGATCAAATAAATGGAAAGTATTGATTATCAGACTGACAAAAATGAACAGAATATATACAATATCCAACATGGTTGTAGAAAGAAAAAGCAAGCTATCTCTTTTCACTATTTGAGAGACTTCGTCCTTTCTTTTTTTATTTTTTTTTTGAGACAGAGTCTTACTCTGTCACCCAGGCTGGAGTGCAGTGGTGTGATCTCAGCTCACTGCAACCTCTGTCTCCTGGCTTCAAGTGATTCTTTTGTCTCAGCCTCCTGAGTAACTAGGACTACAGGTACATACCACCACACCTGTCTAATTTTTGTATTTTTAGTAGAAACAGAGTTTTGCCTTGTTAGCCAGGCTGGTCTTGAACTACTGACCTCAAGCGATCCACCCGCCTTGGCCTCCCAAAGTGCTGGGATTACAGGTGTGAGCCACCGCATCCAGCCTTGTGAGGAACTTTCATTTTTGTTTGTGTGTGTGTGTGTGTGTGTGTATGCATATATTTAAAGTGTTACAAAAATTTGCACATTATCAATGTCCATTGGGGATTAAAAATAATAAAGTGATAGGTTTTACATGATAACAATCTGTAGAATTTTCTAAAGATCATATCTCACTCTTAACTTCATCCTCCTTTTTTTTTCACCTTGTGACTTTCAGTATTAAAGAGCTCTATTCAGTTGCTCTTAACCCTTCCACACTTGCGAAGAGGATTTAGCCTGGATCACAGTTTCATTTGCAAATGCTATCCTTAGGACCTAAGTACATTATAACTACATTGATGGTTCCATTATCACAGCTTGACCATGCCAGGCTTTATACTGTTGCTAAGTAATCAGTGTCAATTGTTGCTCTTGAGGATGAAGGACAAAAATATTTCTTAAGATAAAAGGAAAGCTTTACAGAAAAGCAAAGGCTACTTTTTTCCCCCACGTTATTCTATTTCTAAAACACTACCATGTTGTAATATTTTATTCATGAGACAAATTCTTACAAATATTTTGTCACTTTCTTTAGTAACTTTACCTTAGAATCCATTTACATTTAGGGCAAGTGGTTCTAACATACATAAAAGGGTTTTTTGTATGTTCGTAAAGTTCACATAGGATTAAGGGAAATACACAGATCTAAGAGTTAAATCTCATGAGCATATGGAAGTTCTACTATCAGCTTTCTCTGATCTAGAATGTAAATTAGGTCTCCTGCTAATAATGCATTTACTTCAGCACAGATAACAACTATTAAAAAATCTTTTTCATATCTGCAAAACTCTTATTACACCAAATCATCAAAAATAGATGAAAGCATTAAATAATTTGATTATCCTTGTCAACAATTTAGGACGTTATATAATTTTTCTCCAAAACTAACACTCTGGTACCACATCATTATATAGATTCATTTGGTTTTAATAAATTGTTTAAAAACCACACAGTCAATAAATATATATGTTAGGTATGATGTCTATGCTATAAGCAATGAGAATTTTTTTTTTTCAGAAAAAAAAATCCCCGTTAAAGTCTTATGTGGGGGAAATTATGCCTTTGCCTATGAAAGTTAATCAGCAATACACAATATAGGAGTTCAGAATGAGGCGGTGTGATGTCACATGCTGGAATTTTCAGGATGTAGAAATACCCGTTTCACATCAGTAAGTTCAGGTGGGCCTGAATATCTGTAATTTTAAAGGTCCACAAAGTGATTTTGCTGTGTATCCTGGGTTGAGAGCTACTGCATTCAATAATGTTAAGACTGAAATATCAGGAACCATTGTGATGAAATTAGAAATTATGTCTTTAGTACTTCAGGGACTTGACTTCCCAAATTTCTGCCTACTCTTACAGAACACAAAATGTCTTCATACAATGTCAAACTTCAGTTGATTATATTCAAATTTAAAAATATGTATGAATCATTGACTGTTTTACTTGCTGTATGAGTTATTGATGCTCTGTAGAAACAGAAATACATTTATATCAGGTGTAAAAATGTGTGCATTTGACAGAGACTTGATAGGTATCGTGTGACTTTTAAAAGAAAACATGTTAGAAAATTATTACACCTATTACAAAAGAATGCTTAGCTTTATAAAAAGTTATTGCAATTTCTTTTAAACTTAGTACATATAAAAATATCTGACTTGAAAAAAACTTTTTTCTTTTTCAAAACAACGTTCATCGCTGCCAGTGATTTGGCATAGTACTTTTTATAGCTACCAGGCAGCTGAGTGAGAGGAAAGCTTAGGTTGATCCTGCTGCTAAAATCATGTTTTTCTCAGTCAGTGTTAGGGTTCTTTTTCTACCATGCCCAAATACTAAAACTTAAATAGTATTACTTAAAATACATGTGCACAGTGCATTCCATTTTGTCCAAAATGTCTTCATGATCATTATATTTCATTTAGGGTTTCTATTTTTTTCTGAGTATTTTTATATTTATGAGCAGCTTTCCCTCTTTGCCAAACTGCTTTTATGGGGAAGAAAAAAAAAAACACACATACACATTTTGAGTTTCTCTATAGCAAAAAGAGACTTCCAAAATCATTCCACTGAACTTAGAATGTGGCAAACGTTGGGTTTGTTCTTTTAATAAATCCAGGTCTTGTAGTATCTTCATTTGCTCACTTGACTTTGCCTATCTGTACATACTCTGCTCCTGAGGCTGGGCGTGTGGCCTTCTGTATTAGTCTGTTCTCATGCCGCTAATAAAGACATATCTGAGACTGGGTAATTTATAAAGGAAAGAGGTTTAATGGACTCACAGTTCCACATGGCTGGGGAGGCTTCACAACTGTGGTGGAAGATGAAGGAAGAGCAAAGATGTGTCTAACATAGCAGCAAGCAAGAGAGAACATGTGCAGGGGAACTCCCCTTTATAAAACCATCAGATCTCGTGAGACTTATTCACTATTACTAGAACAGCATGGGAAAGTCCTGCCCCCGAGATTCAATTACTTCCCAGCAGGTCCTTCTCATGGCACATGGGGATTATTACAATTCAAGGTGAGATTTGAGTGTGGACACAAAGCCAAACCCTATCACCTTCTTTTCTTCTTTCTCTATATTCTGTTCCCAGGCAATTTCATTCAACCCTGCAGCCCCCGGAGGCTAGCAACTCCAGTGTCCGTTATGGCCAAATCGCACTGCCCTTCTTAGTGTTATGCCCAGAAACTCTGACTGTCCACCAGGCATCTCCGTCTGGATGTCTCATAAGCAACATAAACTCAGGACACTTATTGCCTTATTTCCACACTCTTCATTCCCCCTGTATTATCCATCTGTGTGAACTGGAGCATTATTCATACCATCTTCCAAACCAGAAATACAAAAATTATCCTATTGATTTAGAACCCCAATCTTAAATGTCTCTTAAATCACCCATCACATATTCAATACTTACTCCTAACCCTTGTAAATCTCTTTCCTCCTCATTCCCACTGTACTACCACATTAGTTCACTGCATCACCATCCTTCATCTGTTACAAAAGATTTAAAATTTTCCTTTCCCACTCCACTTTTTCACCATCCCCAGTTTTCCTTTTGCCATTGTAAAATGCAAATATGCTTTTATTATTTATTTGCTCAAATTAAAGCATGTCTTACTGCTTTGAGCAATGTTCCTACTAACAAGTTGCTCTCACTGGCAAACCCAGCTTATCTCCAGCGGACTGGTACTATTGGAAAGACCCACGTGGGTCATTCTGCTGTACCTCTGCTCATTTGTCCTGGTGCCGAGAAGGCCCCATCCCTTTCAGTCTCCCCAGCTTCCCTGAGAACTCCACTTTTCAATCTTCACTAATAGGCACCTCTGTTGAGATGACTTTCTTGACTCTCCAAGAGAAGGAATTCTTCCTCCTCGTTGAGCCCCATCCATGGACATCAGCCATAGCATCTGTCCATCACATTGCTGTGTGAACTTGTCATAAGTCTGTCCCTCCAATAGACCAGGTACAAGTCAGAGGCAGGGCAGGAGGAAGTGTTACATCTACTTTTTATTGCCAGGTACAAAGTCATCATTTAGTGATTTTTGACACAATGAATGATTTTGAACACCTTTAATTTCATTCTACCATCTGTATTCTCCAAATCTTGGTCAATTTTGAAGAGAAAATTGTTGAATGCTGTGTTTTGTGTGTATCTGTGTGTATAAACTGAGAGTAATGGGCTTTCAATGCCTTTTGTCTTTATATCAGAAGATAAATGTTTATTCATTCTTATGTGTTAGAAAACAGATACTTTGAGACCACCTATTACATCTTGCCTTGGAAATTACCACTTATTGTTAATAATTTGATGGCTCTATAATTAGACAAGCTCCAGAAATGAATTCAGGTTTTATTATTATAAGTATGAACAGCTTTTAGGTAAGGATAACCTGTAGTAAGTAATTGTGTTTTCTCAATACCCTCCTCTTCTAGCAGCCCAGATGCTGTCAAGTTCTTTTCATAGGTGATCCCTATAGAAGTTAAATTTGGTTTATCATCACAGCAAGTTAAGTTTCTGATCCTCCAACCCTATATTTTTCCCTCCCTTCCTTTCTCATTCATTGAGCATCAGCTAAGTATTAGGCACTCTCCTTAGTGCTCATGATATCAAGACTAGTTCACAGTCCCTATCATAGAGGTGGTAACAGAACAAAGACTTTGAAAATTACAATACACTGTAAGTAGTACAATTTACAGATGTAGAATATGCTGTGGTAGCATAGTCCACAAAGTGTTTATGGAGGAGCCTGGAGCCTTCACCAAAGAGGCTGCATTTTAACTGAGTCTTGAGTATTGAGTAGAAATATTCCAAAAGGAAGAAGGAAGAGGGCAATTTCATGCATGAATAAAAATGTAGACATCAAAAAGAATGTGGAACATTTGGGTAAGAGTGGAATGTTTGTGTGGCTGAAATGTGAAGGTCTTGTCGTTTGGGTTTTTCTTGTTTTGGTTATTTTTTTTCTTTCAGTAGGATTCTTTTTGCTTTTGTTTTTCCCATTCAGATATTCCCAATATGGAGATATCTAGACTGTTCACTATGATTTTTTTTCTTTTTCAAGTTTTTTTCAAGTTTCCCTATGGTACATGTCCATTGTAAGTCTTTTTAAACAGAATAAAGAAAATGCTTCTTGAGATTTCAGAATTCAAATATCCATGTAAAAACTAGCTTTAAGTCATCAAGAATGGTAACTCATGCAGACAGAGGTCACCTAGGAGAACTTGTGACTCCAGGTGATCTGTTTGCATGGTATACAGTGGTGTACACTAAGCCAAAACCATATTCCTAAATGTTCAGGGAAATTCATCTGTCTGCATTTCTTACTCTTTCTGAATTCCACTCAGTTATATTATCCATATTTTCAGTCTGAAAGCTTATGAAGCCAAACCTACAGGAAACAAGTGAGAAGATATTTCATTGTGAAATGACATTTTATGAACTCTACTTGTCCTTGTTCTTATGCATGCCTACTTCATAACAATGAAAACCTCCTCTGCTGACCAGTATATAAAATTCAGTTTAGTTTATTATTTCTACTGTCATGATCACCATAGTGAAAAAGTCAACTGACATTTGATTTTTTTCCCACTCTTGTTTATTATATTATAAAGCTTTGATCCACACCACTGGCATTTGACCTTTGAATTAAATGAAGATGCATATGAAAGGTATGAGAGCACATAAACACTACAACCCCTGTTTTTGAGTAAAATATAAAAAATTAATATGAGCATAAAGATTCCAATATTATTTGTTACCATTATAGTTTGATTTTTAATCTTGGTTAGTATAAAACTATAATTCTTGTGATTTTCTTTAATAAATTATAAATGCAGTTTTGATATAATAAGCTTGTAACACTAGGAAAATGAGGAATGAATGATCCAGTGATAGGATTTTAAACAGTATTATGCAGTACTTGTAAAGTACAGTGATTATTCTAGAACTATGTATAAGTACTATGTAGGTAAATTGCCCTGCCCTTATCCTAATTTATTATACTCATTTAAATTGTATTGCAAGTTGTTTTACTTTTGCTGTTGTCCTAGCTTTTTAAATTGGAAAGGTAGAAAGTCCTGGTCAGAACCTAAATTTGCAACCCAACATAAATCAAAGCTCCATTCTCCAGTCTGAAATCTCCTTCCCCCACCTTCACTCTCAGTGACCCTGTGAATGTAATCTTTTTAGAGTGAACCTTGAAGCTGGTCTAGACAGCATGTGACTTATGAAGTGAGGTAGGGTGAAGTGTCCAGGGAGAGAGGCAAATCCTTCAGAAATAAGTCTTAAAATAATGTATTTTCTTTCTTGGAACCCTAAAACAGGTAGAACTGTAACCCATTTTCTTTTTTTAATAGGAAAGCTGTTGATTCCAACTTGAATGCTGTCTCTTTCTCCTGATATTCGTACCTAGTGATCATAATCTATTATTACAATGTTTCTATTTTTCATGTATTGACCCCTCTAGTTTAGAAGACATGCCAGTATAAATAAATAATCCTGGGTAAGAGGAAAGCGTATGTTAAAATCAAGATAGGGAAGCAATGAGGAAGAGGATCTGCTTTTTCTTTCTTAATAGTTGGAATGTGCTTTCATTGTATGATTAGTATTCACCATAAGCAAATAATCTAGGAAGCATTTCTAATGAGCAGCTCTGAGATCAGTATGATTACTAGAGGAAAAAGGCAAATGTGTGTGTGTGTGTGTGTGTGTGTGTGTGTGTGTGTGTATAAAATAAAAACTGTAGCCCAGGACAATGAATTTCCTACAAGTATAGACACAACTAAATATTTATTATAACCTATGAAAATAATACAAATGTCTATTTCAAGAGGATTCCAATACATGGCATCAATAGAAATGGTTGTATCACGAGTACCCATGTTTGTATGGCTTATAAGATCACTTATAGTCTAGCTTGTTGGTACTTTAAGCAATTTAATCCAATTACCTCCTATAAAAGAAACTGAAATCTTATTTCTTATGGCATTCATGAGCCCAAATTTGATAATATCATTTTAAATTCTGATACTTTCAGTCATGCATTGAGGTTTGTCTATTATTTGCCAGAACACCTGGCCTCCATCTCATTGACTCCCCTCAAGGTTTCTGTGAGTCTGTCTGTTTTCCTGTCCATCACATAAGGGCTAAGGCAGGTACAGCAGCTTGCCTTGTAATGGTAGAAAAGCTTTTAATCATCAAGCACCCAATGTCACTTGCTCTTTTTGGGAGTAAGGGGGTGTTATATTAGAGTTCTCCAGAGAATCATAACTTACATAAAGTATATATATATATATATATATATATAGTATATTTGTATATTACATAGAGAATTATCTATGTGGTATACAAGTATGTATATTTGCATAATTCTCATATATATATTTAGAGAGAGAGAGATAAATAGGTAAACATCTATCTACCTAGAAACAGATAAAGAGATAAAAAATTATTTTAAGGAATGGACTCACATGGTTGTGGGGCTGTCAAATTCAGTATCTGCAGAGCAGGCCAGCATGCTGGAGATGCAAGGAAGAGTTGATGTTGCTCAAGTTGGAAGTCAGTCTGAAGGTAGAGTTGTGTCTTCCTAAGGGAAGGTCAGTCTTTTTTCTCTTAAGATCTTCAACTGATTGGATGAGGTCCACCCACAGGATGGAGAATAATCTGCTTTACTCAGAGTCTACTGATTTAAGTGTTCAGCTCATCTAAAAAAATGCCTTCAGAGATATCTAGACTGGTATAACCAAATATATGGGAACTGTGACTAGCCAAGTTGACCCATAAAATTAACCATCGTGAGATTGTTTTTTTCCTTTGTGAAGCAAAAGCAAAACAAAGAAAGAAACCCTGTGGAAATTATTTTAACTCAAATTTTGCTCATAATGATATAATTAGTATGAATAATTGTAAATTATAATGAACATTGTCCCTAGTGCAGTAAGAATTTTTTTCTAGTATTTTCAATGTGACACTTTTGGACAGTTATACATGGACTCCGGGCTCCACCTTCTCCACTGCTCTCCACCTGCACACACTGGGAGAATTGAACACATTAACATCAGGGTAGTAACTCACTACAAGAGTGATTTTCAATCGCTTCCTATTTTTAACTACTGATGTATCCAAATCTGGGAAAAGATAGTAGCAGGTGGTACGAAATGTTCAGGCAGGTTTTGTAAGTTGAAAAAAACCACAGGCAGGTGATTTTGATGTTCCCCATGGAGGCAAGTGTAGCCCTTCATTCTTCTCATTGCTTTATCCCTTAAACAATAGGTAGTTTACTCATTAATGTACTTTTCATGAAATTGCTTA
Organism: Homo sapiens; assembly: GCF_000001405.40. Classification (NCBI taxonomy): domain Eukaryota; kingdom Metazoa; phylum Chordata; class Mammalia; order Primates; family Hominidae; genus Homo; species Homo sapiens. Next base: position 41,318,079 of record NC_000012.12, read on the forward strand.
TTTATATTTATTGAATATCCCATTAAAAAACAACCCTAAAAGAGAACAGAGCTGCTGGAAAACTTTGTTGTTTAGATCGTTTATTATTGCCTAGATTTGAGTCTTAGGATCAGTTTTCAGAAGATAATCAAAATGACCTGGGATTTAGCATGTTTTCCTTCATTGTTTTTCCTAGAGACATTTTATTTAAGTACCTATATATAATTCTATTTGCTACCTTCTCACTATGACTACTCAATCAAAATTATTTCCATACTCTAATATGCATTAAACTTCAAAATTAACTGAACCCTTAGAAACTACTTTTGTGTTTAGAAATGATGCATGCTTATTGTAGAAAATTGGGAAAACAAAGAAGAAAATAAGAATTAACCACAATCCCAACACCCAGAGACAAATAACAAGTTATTAATACATTGTGGTGTCTCACTGAGCTTCTGCATATGCCAGGTCCTTGTGGTAAGTCAACATGGTGAGATGTAGGGACCCCCTAGCCACATAACATCATCCACTGTGCCTACCAGCCAAGAGCATTTGTATCACACTTTACTTTCTGCAGTTGTATAATGAAAACAGTGGATTTATTGGTTGTGCTTTTTAAAACTAAGCACACCAGATTCTAATGATTTTCTCCATCACCTCCCTTCCCTTCCCACTTCTGTTTGAGAAATCTAAGTGTAATGTGAGTGGGGACAGGAAAATAGGAGTAGGAAGTCTCTTCCTGTTCTGACTCTTTCACTTACAACTGTTTGATGATGGATAGATTATTACCTCTCTGAATCTTATTTCAGAGACATTAATAATTATCATTTAATAATTTGGAAAGTGGCCTGTCACAAGGATTAGAAGGAAAGATCATGTAAAGTTCCTTGTACCATGTTTCTGGAAGAAATAAGTAACTTCTTCATGCCAGGACCTACTTTAAACCCTAGCACGTATGTTGCATAATTACTTTCTCAGAACATCTGTAACCTAAAACAAACATGCAAATTTTCACATGCATCTTGAATGCTTCAGACCTCACTAGTACAAATGAGATCGTGGTCGCATTAATGCCTAAATTCTGACACTTATTTCAACAACAGAGACCTTAACCTCCCTTTGAAGTCTTCCTCAGCCTCCCTAAGATTTCACAGAGGGTTTTTGGAAGGTTTATTCATGTTCTGTTGCTCCAGCTGCCTTTGATGCACCCCGAAAACTGACCTAAGCCTCCAGTAGTGGCTGTAATGATGAATGCCCTGGGTACTGAAGCTGTGGGTGGACTGCTTTGCAGAGGTTGGGAGAGAAGCCTATGACCTGCTCTCACTCTGTCGTGAGCTAGGTCACTGGGGGCCTGGGTTCTCAGTGTTTGTGGCCACAGTCTCACAGCCTCCCATGAATACAGTCCCTCCCTCATCATTCTGCACAAACTGCTTGCTTCAAAGACCCTTAAAACCAGCCACCGCTCCTCCTCAATGCCACATCTACTGTCTCTCCACAGCACCTTGGCACAAATCTCTTTCCTCCTCCTTTCACTGAAAGGCAAAAGCTCACAAGCACACAGGCCCTCTCATGAATAACCTGCCCACCAATTCCAAAATCAGCCAGGGTTTAACTTTTCTTTTCTTCCCCAGATAGGACACCTTGGTTCTTTCAGATAATGTAACTGAGGTTGAAAGTCATTATTAAACGTTCCTAGAGGTAAAAAACAACAAAAACAAAAAACATAAACTATTTATCTCACCTGCGACTGTGTGGTTGCACCCCGGGTGCAATATGCCTGCAACCCTTGCAGAAGTATATTGCCTGCTGCCTGCTTTTTAAACCTATGGTAGCCCTACCCTTTTCTGCAACAAGAGCCACTCCATCTCTGCTGCTTGTCTTGGGTTGGCCACCTCCTATTGCTTCCCAGCAGCGGCAGCTGTGCAGTATGACTTTAGACTGTGCTTCTGCACGTCTTTAGGCATTTATTCTGCCACCACTGGGCCTTGCAGCCTCCCTGCTCAGCCTGTCTTACAGCTGCTGTCCCAGTACCTGCTGTTATCCATCTTCTGCACAGCCCCACCTAGGGGCTGAGGTAGCGAGAACATCGTTTCAGCACTAGGGCCTTGGCTGTGTTCCAGGTAATTGCTGGTGGTCTCGCCATCCCACTTCACATTCCTTGGCTTGGAAGGGTTTCTGAGAATGCTATTGGACTCACAGACCTGTGTGGGTGCTACCAGTTTCCTTAGATGTGCCCCGGGAGCAATATTAGATCCTGTGTTGACATTTCATCTCTCCTGATGTGTGCTGACTAAATAGATTCCACTTGTTTTCATTTTGTCTATCAATAAATGTTTGGATTTCTTGCTGCTGAGAACTCAGTTATGGCCATCGGTTTTCTATCTTAACAATTCAAGAAGAGCTTTGTTATCTGGGATGTTGTTAGAACACAGGATAAAACCCTATTCACATTGTCTTGAGGTGTCCTCTTATCAGTTCTTCCTTTCTAGCAGTGGACCTATAACTGAATGGGGAGACCCTGGGCACCTGGTCAGAAGGGAGACATGTATTTCCAGTTGACCTCAGGCTGTCCTGCAATCAGAGACAAGCAGATGTCAACAGTGAAATAGTTGACTCAGTACGGTTTTAAAAGTCTTAACATGTGAACATTTCATTGAATGAAGTAGGAAGTGACAATACAGAGAAAAAAAATCTCATCTCTCCTTTTGAATGACAATCTGTGAATTAAAATTCAGCAGAGTACATGAGTCAAGTTAATTAGAATAAATAATCTTATAACTATAAAAATTTCAAGAAGAAATCACACCACAAAATTAACACCAGTTATCTCTAGGTGGTAACAATTTTATGTAATTTTTATTTTGTTCTTTTTGTTTGCTTGCATCTTCTAGCATTTTCACAGTAAATATATATCATTTCTATAATAAAATATAATTAGATATTACAACTTTTACAAGTTTGGATAATCATACCCCTGAAACATTTTAGTATGAAGTAAAATCTTCATTTTTCAGCATAAATTTCTAAAATTTTTCTTACATACTGGGAAACCTAATAGTGAACTAAACAAAAACTTCTCATATGCACTTTTTAAAAATAAGGTGTCTGCTGTTTATGTCACAAAAGCTGGATTATGCAGCCCTTTAGTGTTTGAGTTTTCCATCTGCTCTTTTATTCAATTAGGTCGGTCATGGGAAAGTGGTATGCCTGGACCACACTGCCTCAATGGCACAGAAATGCCTTCACTGAGTTAAGATTTAGTGGTATATTCTCTGCTTCTAATCTTAGGATCATTTGAACATTATTTCTGGATCTGTTTTTAATGCTGTAATTTATAATATTGTGCAGATTTCACTGATCTTCACACACAGCCTGACAGAGAAATTTCCTTTGTGACATTATTCCTAGTAAACAGTGTGTTTCTATATGCAGATTTTGTGTGCTCTCTCATGGAAAAGTAAAAACTAACCCAATATTATTTCATTTACCTCAGTTCCTAGAAATTCTAGTCAATATCACTGTTCTTTTTGTTCATAATCTATTTATTCAGCTCACTTGTAGCATCTACTCCTTTGCTTTGTTTGTTTGTTTTGGTTTTGGTTTTTTGGATGGAGTCTGATCAGTCTTAATCACTGTTTTTTAAATAAATAGGCCATCTCATATTGCCTTAGGAAACAAAGACATAATAAGACGATGATCGCCTGTGTAAATGTGACAAACTAACCTTTAATTTCCTTGAACAGAGATGCTATCATCGAGGATATTTTGGAATTATTATAACTTTCTAATTTGAATAATTATATTGGGATTTACGGTTGGAAAACTTACTGTTTTCTCCTTCATTTAGGTGGATATGTTTGTAAACCAATCAAACTACCTCTCCACCCAGAAAGCATATTAGAAATTATATATTTAAAACTGGTTCTTAACACACCTCTGGGCTGGTGCACCAATGTTAAGATTTCCTCAATTTTTGTTTTGTTTTGTTTTTTGAGACAGTCTTGCTCTTCACCCAGGCTGCAGTGCAATGGCATGATTTTGGCTTACTGCAACCTCTGCCCCCTGGGTTCAAGCTATCCTCCTACCTCAGCCTCCCAAGTAGCTGGGACTACAGGAACGTGCCACCACACCCAGCTATTTTTTTGCTTTTACTAGAGGCAGGGTTTCACCCTGTTGGCTAGGCTGGTCTCAAACTCCTGACCTCAATCCGTCCACCTCGGCCTCCCAAATGCTTGGATTATAGGCTCGAACCACTGTGCTCAGCTCCTCAAAATTTTTGTAGGTAGACTTTGAGGATTCCTACTGAGTAATTTTGGATCTCATACTGGGAAAGTACTCCAAACTGTATAGCTAGATCTCATTTTATACAATGAGTGTATTATGGAATGTTGTATAAAACGAACTTTGGAAATTTAGATTTTCTTTCCTTTTTTTTTTTTTTTTTTTTTGAGACAGAGTCTCACTCTGTCACCCAGGCTGGAGTTCAGTGGCAGGATCTCTGCTCACTGCAAGCTCCGCCTCCCTGGTTCACGCCATTCTCCTGCCCCAGCCTCCTGAGTAGCTGGGACTACAGGTGCCCACCACCACGCCCGGCTAATTATTGTTTTTTGTATTTTTAGTAGAGACAGGTTTTCACCATGTTAGCCAGGATGGTCTCGATATCCTGACCTCGTGATCCTCCCGCCTTGGCCTCCCAAAGTGCTGGGATTACAGGCGTGAGCCACCGCGCCGGGCAAAATTTTCTTAAAGTTATTGGAAATATCTTCATTTAAAGGAATCTGAATTATGATCTTTTTCTCGATTTCTTTCCTTTTTTCTTTTTTTTCTTTCTTTCATTTTATTTTCTTTCTCATACATCTTGAAAAAAAATTAGATTGTTTTAAAATCTTGAAAATGATATCTACTGGATTGCTAGAGTAATGAAAAACATGGCAGAGGGCAAATAAGGCCAATCCAGTAAAGAAATGTGTTTCCTCATCCCACTGTGTCTGGCTGGTGATGAAGGTAGCTAGATTAGTGGTTGCATTACTTTTCTTTAGGACTTTCTGGATCTTATCAAAATATTGCATTTCCTTTACGCCCAGCAGGATAAAGTTCTCTGCTTTGCTCCTAAGGTTAGCATCTCAGTTGCAGCTTCAAATTGACAGGAGGACTATGCTGGAACAGTCTTCTATGGAGAGGACATGCCTTAAAGGAAATATTTAAATAAAGTAATTCTTCATTTGTATTGGAATGAAAGCTCAAAGTCAGTTTTAAAAATATAAATAATTTACCTTCTTAGTAATATATGAAAATATTGACCTCATTCTTACATTTACATAAGATCTTTAGTTGAATTTGATAGATATCTAAAAAAAGATAAAAGAACAATAAAATAGAATAAAGCCCAAAAGCAATGAAGTTATTGAAATTGCTTCCAAGATAAGCAGAAGATGAAAAAGTAATATTTTTGCCAGATGAAGAGATTGATCTTCTTATTGTATTGTTCAGGCAAATAAAAGCAAAAAATAATCATAACCAAGTTGTAGAATAAGAAGAGTATAATAAATTTTATATAATTTGAAATATATGCTTTAAAACAGTCATAAAATTATTTATATTATCCAAAAAGTATGTCACTAATACAGTAACAAATGCTATAATTTGAACATTTAATTTTTTCTTTTCTAATAATGAATTATAAAATATCTAAATATTTTCTGCACATTTATATGGTAATACACATTAGTTTTATTTTATTAATAAGTATGGTTATAAAATTTCTTGTAGAGATGTGATTTATATTAATTTTTTTAAATGACAGGTTAACCTGAGTTAATATATTATTATTAAACTCAAACAGAAAACACGTTATAAAGATATAATCCAAAACTTTAGCTGTGTGGCTCTTAAACGTAAACAACTGTTTAGGCTTATTTCTTTTGAATTCTAGGTACTTAGCTATTATAAGACATTCATAGTCTTATAACTGAACTTCCAAAACCCCACTTGCAGTAATATATGAAATAGGATGTTGTTTGTTACAGTTAGTGTTTTCAATATGATGCTGTGATTCATTATGATATGGAGTGATTGCTTAAATAAAACATATCTAAATAAAAATGATCTGATTTTTCCTTCCTTCATTCCTCTGCATGAGATTTTGCAGATACCACCAGCAAGTTATTAAATGTCTCCTTAAACATCCCATTTATATCTTACTATACAAAAAAAAATATCTGTGCAAATTTCTAGGTAAAACAAGTGTTTGAAGATTAGGCCATACTTTAAAAATCAGGAAAGAGATTACTGTTTTAATCAGTAGTTCAGCTTGTTGAGCTATTGAAACAACTGTATATTCTAGTACTTTTTGAGAAACATTATGAAAGAGCAGAAATTATACAATTTATATGAAAAGCACATTTTAATTGAAGAGCTGTCTATCCATTAACTACATATTTTCTCTTGTGTCTTTGGGAAAATAGCAATATTTTTCGTTTACACACAGATCTCTACAATCCAGCAACTGGTTTGTCATACATGTGTCATCAATAATAAGTGATTTAAAAGAACATTATGGTGTGTATTTCTATAAATCCAGATAGGTATTAGGTTGGTGCAAAACTAATTGTGGTATTTGTCATATATTCTAGATCTGTGTGCTTTCCAACATAGTAGTCAATAGTCACAGATGACTTTTGAACAATTAAAACATGACAAGTGTGAATTGAAAAGTGCTAGATTTCAAAGAGTTGGTATAAAAATATAAAAATACCTTATCAATTTTTATATTGAGTACATGTTGATGTGAGAATATTTGGAGTTAAATAAAATATATTAGAATTAACTCCAACTGTTCCCTGCTACTTTTTAAAAAGGTAGACACTAGGACATTTAACATTTGAAATTACATATGTGGCTCTCATCTGTGCTCACATTATATTGCTATTAGATAGCATGGGTCTAGATACCTCCAGTCTATCTATTTTATCAATTAATATAGTAGAGCAAATATCTCTCTTAAACTGTGGACCAACTATGGAGATATTTAAATGTATATAATTAATGTTTGTGAAATAATAAGTATTATACCATGATTATTACCTTTTTCTCTATAATATAGTATCCTTGATAATAAATATTCCAGTGTCTGGGATTTTAATTTTAGGTCATATCATTATGTGATAATTCAGTGGCATTTGAATCCTTACTTCAAAAAATTAGCAAAACTTATGTTAGAAATTAACATTTCTATGAAAGTTGTTTGTACCAGTGTGTTTAGATGGCATAATTTGCAGATTATACTGAAAATAAAATGAACCAAGATTCATTTGTATGCATTTGTGATTACAGTATCTTCGTGCTTATTGTCCTCTTTAACTGGATTATCAGAAATAGTATAATAATCAATTTTAAAAACATGTAACCAACCATCTCTGAGGAAATAAGATAAGACGGGTTATGCTAGGGAGGAGGATACCAAGTGTTGGAAACTCAACAAACTCAAGTCAACAGCAAGGAGGTTGACAGCTATGGGAAGCCAGTGAGGCCCTTCTAGAGAAGGTCAGCTACGGGTTAGTTAAGAGCAACACTCAAGGCCCAGAATTTAGAGTTTCTGTCAAAGATCATTTACTAGAGAGTTTAACTATTGATCTGTCTCAGTTAATGTGATTTTCAAACCTTAGATATGGTGAAATTAAAAAGTCAGAGTGATTAAAAAACACATTTATTTTAGCAAACAAGCATTATTCCCAACATGGAACATACACTATGATAAGAAATAAATAGACTTAAAGTGCATGTCTTGGAAAACTTGAATACAATAAATATATTATCAAATAAATTGAAAAGGCCTTCCAGAATAATTCCATTGGGGATGTTTTCGACTCTTTAGTTTCAGGGATAAGTGCTCTTCCACAACAGTGCTTTCGATGTTTCTCTTCTCTTTTTTTTTCTTGTTTTTGAGACAAGGTCTCATTCTGTTGCCTTGGGAGTACAGTGGCATGATATCATGGCTCACAACAACCTCAACCTCCCAGGTTCAAGCAATCCTCCCACCTTGGCCTCCTGAATAGCTGGGACTATAAGCATGTGCCACCACACTCGGCTAATTTTTTTTTTAGAGATGGGGTTTCACCACATTGCCCAGGGTGGTCTCAAATTTCTGGGCTCGAGCAATCTGCCCACCTTGGCCTTCCACAGTGCTGGGATTACAGGCATGAGCCACCATGCCCAGCCTCTTTCAATGTTTCTTGACCATAACCGGTAGCAATGCACTTACATGACAACATACACACACAGTTTACCTAACCATATTGCAGCTGGTGGACTTTGATTGTTTCTATCCTATTTGCTTTTATTTTCTGGTTATGATCCACTAAATAAACTTCAAATTCCATTAATTAAAAACACATCTTGATATTTTTAAAAAATCACAAAAATTGTTCCATGTGGATATCAGGTGGCAGGAGTCACAGAGCAAGGTTGAAGATTGAGCAGAAAAGGATTAAAAAGTGAGTAGAAAATTTGGCCCACATGGGATCAAGATACCCCAGCCTCAGCAAGGGCGAGAGGATCTGGAAGGTCTAAGCAACAAACAATGGTTATTAGCATCAAGCATAATTCTGGTGCAGGCAGTTATCTTCGACCCAGTATATTTTCCTCCATGAAACCACAAGAGTCCTAACTAGATGCACATGATAAGGTAAAATTTATTCCTGCTTACAGTTGGAAAATGAGGAAGCAAACAGTTCCCACAAGAGCAGAGTATAATTTAAACATCTAAAGAAAAAGTAAAATATCATTAGCTAAAGTGAATATCATATATAACAGGTTATCCCGGTGTTAATAAAGTACATGGACAAATAAGTTCAATTAAAATAAAAGGAAATAATACTGAATGACATATTATTTGCTCCCGAATGTCTGAACTGAATTATTTCTCTCTCCATTTTTTTCAATCAGTTTCTCTCCAGGTCAGTATAGTCATTGACAATCTCTATTTCTCTTGAAGATGCAATTCCTCTTTGTTTCTGTATTCCCTGGTTTTCTACCATTAAGAAGGCTTTGTTTCTTTCGAATTTGAGTACATATTCTCCATTTTGCTAACTTGGGGTGGTAAGTGCAGCCTTGAGCTTACATTGTTCAGGCCATTATTTTTTTTATTTCTCTCTCCCCCAGTAGCCCTTTCTTTCTTCAGCTGTTAGCTATTGGCAGAAAGCTTGAGCATATCCTCCTGTGGGTTTGCTCCTTAGGGGACTTTCCTTTTGCAGTTAATCCACAGTGCTAAAGCACAAGCCTCTCTCTGTTCTTTTGATGTTACTTCTTTGCAAAATCTTTTCCCTCTGTACCTAAGACACCTAAGCTACAGCACATTGTTTGGAATTTACAGGGAAACTGTTATCACTGCTAGAGTATGCACCTTGATTTCTGCTGCTTTAATTTTGGGAAAGTGGTTTTAGCTGTGAACGTCAATCAACCGGAGAGGCCTGTTCAATTTGAATAAAACCTATGTGTAGCTTGTGAAGTAGAGGATAAACAGCAAAAAGCATGCGAGCTCTCAGCACACTCTTGAAACAGTGCAGAAGGCCAGGGGCTTAAGGCTGAAATGGCTACTATCACTTTTAACTTTCTGTTGTTAAAGAACTCACAGTCACCAGTCACTACAACCTCTCCAGTGGTTCCTCTTTAAAAATGAACTCACATGTTATTTAACTGGGATATAAAATAATGTTAAACTGCTCTCTGTATGTTGGTATATGTATGTGTGTGTCTGTGTGTGTGTGTGCATGTGTGTGTGTATAAGTATACAGCTATAACTATAAATGTGAGATACTTTACATATCCAGTCCTCTACACATACTTATGCATTCAAATATATTTGTTTTAGTCTTACTGAAGCAATTAAAATATTTTTAATTTTTTGTTTATGCTGGGACATGGCTGATATTAGCAAAACTACACTAATGAAGTCAAATATGAAAAAATATGGTATATATATGATTAGGAATTCAAACGGTATTTAATGGGGCTCAGAAGACAAGAGGTGGTCTACCCAACTATTAACTATGCACTATAAAAGAACAGTGAAAGATAAAGCTGAAAACAAAATCTAAACTTTAATTGTAAATATTCTTGTTTTTAATCTTTGATCAGAGTCATTGACTTTATACAAAAAGCAGATTAAGATTGTTTGGGGGTTCTTTGGTATTTGATGGCTATGCACTAGATAAAAATGTGTCCAGAAAAATATACTGTGTATATAATACTGAAAAATATAGAACAACAGCCTGGGCAACATAGCCAGACCCCAACTCTACAAATAATAAAAAATAAATAGAATAGCCCAGTTTGGTGTCACATGCCTGTAATCCCAACTACATGAGAGGCTTAGGAAGCAAGACCACAAGTTCATGGTTACAGTGAGCTATGATAATGCCACTACACTCAAGCCTGGGCAGCAGAGTGATGCTCTGTATCTAAAACAAATAGAATATATATACAATTGCAGATTTGGCAGGTTTGTTTATAAAACAGCTCAACTTTTTTTAAAAAACATTGGTTGTTAAAAATCTGTTTATATCTGTCTGGATCTTCCCAAGAAAGAGGTGTCTAAGTTCTTTCTAAGAGCCCATCAGCATGGAGGATGGTGCTGCTTTCACTGATAGACTTAATATTTCCATACAGCAGTCTTCTTTCCAGAAAAGGATAACATGTATCTGTGACTCAAAACAAACAAGTCTTACCAGACTCAGGAAGACAGGAGACAGACATTTAAGCATAGTTGAGTGGACTTTATTTTGTGACTGGGAGTGAGGCTTTTCTGATTTGTTACTTTGTTTATTGGCCAGGAGGAGAAGATTTAGAGTACAGTATTATCAACAGTACTCCAGGAAGCAGCTTTCACAGAGTTCACTAATGCCTTTTGTAACTTAAACAAATTTGGGCACTATAAAACAGAATGGAAGCAAACTTGGGCTTGAGGTGATTGTCTTCTCTTTAGGGTTTGGACTTGTTCCTCACCTCTATTTCAACTTTAAATTTCTTCCTCTGCAAGTGAATCTAGGGATAAGGTTAGAATCGTATTGCATCTTCTTGACAGCATCCGCTGCTAGTTATTGGGTATTATAGCTTGATGTTCATTTGTTTGGGAAGCCTCAGAGATGAAAACCTCCTTTGAAGCATTCCCAGTTGCTTGTATTGCACACACCCATTCTCCTAAAGTAGGTGAGACTGTATTTAATACAGGAACGTGTATTCAATATGTTCTTCCATGGCTAAAACTAACTTTAATACCTACACATTCTAAGCTGATACTTTCCATATGTTGATGCACTATGTTTTCTCCATGTTATGCTTTTGAAAAGGAAAGTTCATCAAAGAGTAAATATTTGTCAAAGCATGTGTTTATAAATCCCATGGTAGCTTGTGAAATTTTTTTCTGCTTAGTTAATTCAGCCATCTTAGTCACTTTTAATCAGTCCCCTAATTATGTTTTCAAGTCAGTTCAGCATATTGTTTATGACAATAAATTTATCTGTTGTCATTTTTGGTGTGAGTGTATGTGTAGTAATGTAATGTTAATGTGCATTTTTTCTTTAATATAATTGTAGAATAATGCTAAAATAATGACTACTAAGAACAGGCAAAATGAGATTCTTAATTGCTGATTAAATTCCTTTTCTAGGCTTTTTAATGAGTGTTGTTTCATCTGACATTGTTTATACAAATTCAACTCCACTAAATTTATGAGAAAATATACAAAATCATCATGCAAAGAAAGTATTTCTGTAGAGTAAACCATCATTCAAGCCAAGTACTGTTTTTACTCAAGTTGATCAGACCTGACACCTAAGGATGAATCCTCAATCCTCCCCTATAATCTTTTATACCTGATTCTCTCATGATAGCCACTGGACATTCCTCGCCTGAAGGCTGGATTTTGATTAGTCTGAGAATTATAGCATACAGAGATAATGTGCTTTTTCATGTTTCCTCAAGAGAAAAGCTAAATCATTTAAAAATCCTTTGTTATTTGATTTTCCATAACAATGAATAATTTAGGATTATCATGTATTGTTTAAAAAATTTTATGTTACTTTTATGCTTCCAAAATTAGCATAGTGAGTGCTACTCTGGAGGACAAAGTACAAAGTATTTCTGATAAAATCTGAATGAGTTAAACCATTGATAACCCATGTTGCAGAGCTCACGAGTTGTCCTTGATCAAACTTCTCCAATAGAAGAAAGAGTTATCTTGACATTCCAAGTGTTGCTAAGACACCGTTCTGGGTTTTAAGTCTTCCAGCTCTTGAACCACCTGACCTGACTATGACACAAGTCTTGAGCAATCAACTTCACCTCTCTGTATCTCAGTATCCTGATCTGTAAAATGGGGATATTAAAATCAGTTTAAATCATATAACTTGCAGTTCTGTAGGTCTAATATGGTAAAAAAAAAAAAAAAAAGACAATTTCCTATGATCTTTCCTAATAGTACCTATTCCATAAAGCTCATGAGAAAATTAAAACATCTAATGTGTCTAAGCTCTTAGCACAATATAAATATGCTGGAATAAGCTTCTATAAATTTTAGTTACTATTCCTACTGTTATTAAAATAAGAAAAGCCAAAAAGTATTAGGTCAATATGCAAGTGAAGAAATACATTCAAAATAATACTATCCAGTAGCCAAAGTAATTCAGAATAAGTTACTTTTTTAAGTTTCTCAAAGTAAGAATAATTAGCCTTTATTTGCCTTTCTGGAAAATAAATGTTGTTGAAACAATATGCATGACTTTGTATGCATTCAATGCAATAATCTTTCAAGAAATCACCCCAGAAATATTTTGATACTGCCTTTAGCTCATATCATTAAAAGGTTTTCAGTATCCAGCTTTAAATTATAACATTGTACAGTTTTAATATAGTTATTTTGTTCCATAACAATTGAGACCAAAAAGCTGAGAGAATTACTGAAGTGGATTCAAACTCAAAATATCTAAAATCTGAATAGACTTTGGGGAAGACTAACATCGCAAATTGCAAATTCGTCCAATTGATTTTAGAAGTATAATCTATTCAATGAAGCAATCATAATAAATTCAGAGGATATTTAATCTCTGAGAACTTGAATTTTATGACTATGAAAAGCTGAGAAGTAGCAGGTATATTTGGATAATATTTCACTTATTCTACTGCATTAAGACCTGTCTTATGGTTTTAAAGATGTTAAGTATATTCTTAATAATTTTCTATATTTCGGTAGGTTTATCTGACCATTTACAGATGAGCGTGCTTATATACAAATATGTCAATGACCACATAAACCTAGAAACAATTACATCTCTCAAAATGTTAGTGGATATGAAGGGCTACAACTAGAAATGGGAAAAAAAGAGCTTGAAAGAGAAGCTGAAAAGGACTCTAAGCACCTGTCAAGAGATTGGCATTTACATTTCTTAAATGTGAAAGGAGGGAAAAAAAGAAGCTCTGTGGGTATATAAGTAAGTTTTAGATCTGGTTATTAAGGAAGTTGGCATTCAGCGATTTCTATTTTCACAGTAAAACATAAGAATAGAACTGTATTAGTCCATTTTCACACTGCTGTGATGAAATATCTGAGACTAGGTAATTTATAAAGAAAAGAGATTTAATTGACTCACAGTTCCATATAGCTGGGGAGGCCTCAGGAAACTTACAATCATGGTGAAAGGCACCTCTTTATAGGGCGGCAGGAGAGAGAATGAGAACCGAGCAAAGCAAGAAAAGCCCCTTATAAAACCTATGATTCAGTTACCTCCCATCCAGTCCCTCCCATGACACATGGGGATTATGGGAACTACAATTCAATGTGAGATTTGGGTGAGGACACAGCCGAATCTATCTGGAGCATTAGCTAAGAATGAGTCAAAGAGCTAGGGTAGGAAATGAACAAAAATAATGTTTGAAATAGTCATCTGTGGTAGGAAACGAGAGAGGATAATACTTGAAGTAGTCATCTCAGATATCAGGAAGTGAGCTTAATTGAGAAAGAGAATTTCTGGTTAGTATTGAGACCCCATTTGACATATAAGGTCATGAAGTGAAAACAGTATGCCAGGTTGTACAATTTTCTCCAGTTACACTCAAGTACCTGGGAGGGAGCATTAAGACGGCAGATGGTTACGTTCACCTGGAATGTGTGTTTTTCAAGGAGAGTACAAAGGAGCAAGAAAGAAACTGTGTATCTGATATGATTCTAATAATGAACGTTTGCCTGTAAGTTGGAGAAGTAAAGTTAGGAGGAAGGTGAAAGAGGGTAAAAACTCAATGGTTTAAATGTCTTTAGGACCATAATATTGTAAGGAGGGAATTTAATGGAATCAAGAAGAGAGGAGAGGAAATGTGGTCCCAAGGCAGAATGTTTTCTTTCCAGGTTTCGTGATGGTGCCTATTCTAATGATGATGAAGAGTGATCAGGTCATCAGGAGAAAGGATATGGGAGATATTGTGATGGGAAAGATCCTCTGATACAAGAAGGTTAAGAACCTAGGGGTCTTGTGATTGCATGGATCAGCCTACTGGCTGAAGTTTGTGTGGTAAGGAAGAGTGGGTCCAAAGCAGAACTCATTTGTGAATCAAGAGGAATGACCAAGAACTGAGTACAAACTACTCCAAAGGGGTAGTTTGGAGGTCAGAATAGCAAGTTTTACAAGAGGAGGATTAAAAAAAAAAAAAAAAAAAAAGATCTGGAAGTGACAATAAGTAGAAGGAGGGGGCATAACAAAAACAGTTTCTCCCTCTCCTTGATCTGAAGTATGTGGAACTGCAATGACAATAACAACAAAATAGCTATTGCAAGTTCAGTGGGAGCCAAGTTACTATTTCAAATGCCTTGCATGGATCCACCCATTCCATCATTACAGTAACCTACTGAAAAGTAAGAACTACTGACACTATCGACAGTTTAGTAAACTAAGGCAACAAAATTTAAGAATCTTTGCCAAAGTCACACATGCTAGTGAGTGATGGAGCTAGGATTCAAACCTGGCAGCCTGACCTCAAAGCCTGCACCTGTACACCACTGTGCAGCACCTTAAACCTTAATTGGAAATTGAGAAAATCAATAACTCTGTAGGTGAATATGTTCACTGAGTTTCAGATTGCTCTGGGACTATTTTGGTAGCAATGAGCTAAGGTTCTGAGACAGGTCATCGTGGGTCTCTGGCATTTATGCTGCAGACATGGAGAGGCAGTTCAGCTCTCCCTGTAAACCTTCTTTCTCAGCAGCTGTGTGCTCCAGCACAGCAGCTTCTCACTACCCTCACGACCGCCACCCCCAACTTGAACCTGGGTAAAGTCCTATCTGTTTTGCTTGGTGAAATTCAAAATGATGGAACAGACTGCTTGCTCCATGAATGGGGAGAGCTTGGCTCCTCAGTGGTCTGACAGCAGGTTCTGCCATGTGCTTCAGACCAGGGTCATTGCTTATTGCCTTTGTGTTAGATTCTGAGTTCCAGTCTCAAGTTCTACCTCCTGTCCAATCTTCAGCTAATCCAGGTCTTGGACCCTCCTTCATTCTGCCTTCACTCCATTCTCCATAGCAAATCCCCAGAATGACATGCAATTTGACAAAACAAAAACACATTCTGGAATATCTTGTTATGCCTAAAGCATTCCACCAGAAAATTTCCTCAGTTCTCATAGACTATTGAGCATTAACTGTTTCCAAATACTATCAAAGAGTGCATTTTTGTGAAGAGCTATGCAAAGGTAACACATCATGATTTGTGGGGTTTATCATATTTAACTTTGCTTTTATCTGAGTTTCAGAGTTCCTGAAGAATCTCTGTTGGATCAACCAAGTAACTTTTCATACGCAGTTATTTTTGTGTGCGCAAACATACTGAGAATTTGAACAATTAAACATTCTACAATCCTGGGCCAAAGCAAAATTTTCCTCTCTTTCTAATTCCACTTGGCTTTCAAGTTGCTGACAGGGATCCTTATTACCAGCTGACTACCACTCTATTGGCAGTATTTTTGTTATTGTTTTTATTTATGCACGCCTCTTGGGCAAAGGCCACCCTTCTCTCTGCAAGACTCCAGTAAACCTTTGCCTCTTCATTAGCATTTGAATCTCTGAGCTCCTATAACAAGGTCTTTGCTGGCCTCACACCAGTCTGAGTCCCTCAGAACAGAATTTTTCACAGACCTTCTTGCTTCTGCCTTTCATTATTCTCAGATCTTTTTGGTGTTTTTGTTTAGTTTGGTTTTGTTTGCTCTTGAATACCAAGAGTCCATCTTTGGTAGTATACTAAATATAATGAAGCTTTAGAAGTATTCAGTGGGGAACATTAATGAAAAGTTAAAAAAAAAAAAAAAAGAAAGAAAGAAGCCAAATTGATGACTGTTGTTCTAAATGCAGATGGCACTGATTAGTTTGCTGAGATCCTTCTCTGAAATAAGCTCAGCACCATCACCTCCTTATCTCCAAATCAGCTTTCCTGCCAGACATGATGGCTGGGACAATGCAGATGGCTCTGGAGCAGGAGCTTCTCTCAGAACCCAGTCCTTATCACGGCTTTGACTGGCAAAGGCTGTCATTCATTCTGTCACTCACAGTGGGGACACAATGGATCATGTCTGCCTTGCACATCATAGGTAACTAGACTAACTGGGGCTGGATTTAATTCCTTGGTTAAAATAGAGGAGAAGAGATAAATCATTGATTATAGAATATCTGATTTCCCTTTAATTCACTTGTCACTGAAACTGTAACCTTGTGTTCTAGATTGGTTAAATTTGTCAGCATCCCTAATAGAAACCACCATTGTAATAAGATTTTTTTTTCAAACCGCTATATATTTAAAAGTCAGACTGAAATATATGTGAGTCTTTCAACTCTGTCTGTGACAGTCTTTTCTTTGAAAAGCAGCAGTATGGTTTTGATGTGCTTTGGAATTCTTATCCTAACATTTTAAAGTAAAATGGGCATTAATTATCTTGATAGAGCTTCCTTGAAAAAATAGGTTAGGTAAAAATGAAAATATAAACATATTAAATATAAAGGTATTTTAGGTGAAAGTCTACTGTTCATGCAATATTCTGGATGGTGACAAGGGGAGATTCATTTACACATCTAAAGCAGCTTAGAATATTGACAAAGTGTTTGAAACAGAACTATAATAATAATCACTATTTGCCTATTTGCTATCATTTTCTTTTTTTCTTTTTATTTATTTATTTATTTTTATTATTATACTTTAAGTTCTAGGGTACATGTGCACAATGTTCAAGTTTGTTACATATGTATACATGTGCCATGTTGGTGTGCTGCACCCATTAACTTGTCATTTACATTAGGTATTTGCTATCATTCTATGTTATTGCACATCACAAATGTTGTACTTTTTCTTATATATTAATATAATCAGATAGAAGGAGCAATAACTCTTAGCTACGTTAATTATTGAGTTTTTGAAAAACTAATTAATGGTGTCAGACCTGATTTGCTTTGTTGTTGAAGGAAGGTATTGAAGATATTAAGATATGCAAACACTCCGTAGTATACAATAAAACATATTTATAATGTTTGCCCAGGATATTAGTTTTCCACTGGGTTACAGCACTGAGAATGAAGAGGCTAATATTACTTTGTGGACTTCTGCTCAGTAGTGGGAAAATAGTCACAATATTCAGGAAAAAACACATAGAGTTAATATGTCCAAGGTGTATACTTGTGAATTTTACTGGAGCAGCAAACTATGAAATATAACTCTTGATTTCCTAAGAAAATCAACATGGTAGCTTTATCTCATTATTTAATTTTGTGTCATATTTTATGCTTTTGTTGTAATATAATTTATCCAAATAATTTTAACTATAAAAGGTCAGTGCACTAAAATGAGAGTTTCTTTAAGAAATATCATTCTGGTGCACAGAACAACTCCTTTTAGGATAAGGCATATAAAAAAGTTTTCTTTTAGAAATAGTCATAGCCCTTTCTAGGTTTATGTATGTATATGCAAATTAAGGAGGCATTCCTCCTCATTTAACAATTCTCATTCAAAAGTTTTTATTGCATGCGGACGCAACACAATCCATTATCCTTACTATTCAACAAATCTGGCCAATAATATGCCAAATCTTCAATGTATCCTCTATAATCAATGAACGGCTGATTCATCCTGGCATATGTGATTCAAAGAGAAGGAATAAAGAGAGGTTGCTAAGTAGATGCTTTGGGAAAGGAGAATAATGCACTGCTTTTGTGGTGACCATTGTATGTCACTGGCTAGCTCAGTTGCTGAGCTAATTGCTGAAGTTGATTACTGCTGAGTCAGATACTCATCTCTGGTCCAATCAGTGGCCAACTCCATGTAAGCACCAGACTGACATTTCTTCCCAGAATATAGTTCTCCATATAAGGAAGTGTCAACCTAAAGGAGAATTTGAACATAGTAGCCATGCAACTGATGTGTTCAGAACATCAACTTTCTCTGTACATGCAATGTCATAACCACCTAGTGGGTTCACCTTGCCTGCTGCCTAGACAGAGCCAATTTATCAAGACAGGGGAATTGCAATGGAGAAAGAGTAATTCACGCAGAGTGGGCTGTGTGGGAGACCGGAGTTTTATTGTTACTCAAATCTGTCTCCCCAAGCATTCAGGGATCAAAGTTTTTAAAGATAATTTGGTGGGTTGGGGCTTGGGAAGTGGGGAGTGTTGATTGGTCAGGTTGAAGATGGAATCATGGGGGTCGCTGTGAGTTTTTCTTGCTGTCTTCTGTTCCTAGGTGGGATGGCAGAACTGGTTGAGCCAGATTACCAGTGTGTGTGGTATCAGCTGATCCATCCAGGGCAGGGTCTGCAAAATATCTCAAGCACTGATCTTAGGTTCTACAATAGTGATGTTATCCCAGGAGCAATTTGGGGCAGTTCAGACTCTTGGAGCCAGAGGCTGCATGACCCCTAAACTGTAATTTCTAATCTTGTAGCTAAACTGTTAGTCCTGCAAAGGCAGACTGGTCCCCAGGCAAGAAGAGGGTCTTTTTGGAAAAGGGCTGTTATCAATTTTGTTTCAGAGTCACACTATGAACTGAATTCCTTCCCAAAGTTAGTTCAGCCTACACCCAAGAATGAACAAGGACAGCTTAAAAGTTAGAAGCAAGATGGAGTTAGTTAGGTCTGATTTTTTTCACTGTCATAATTTCCTCAGTTATAATTGTGCAAAAGTGGTTTCAATGTGACTAGGGGGATTTGAGAATTTTAAACTTTTCTCCACTCGAGAAATGGGACCACTGCTCTGCTTTCCTATACCTGTCACGTCTTTCCAGTTTCTCAAATGGTACCCACAGGTACCATGTCCAGGTCAGAGCTGTGACCCTAAAAGAAGAAGAAGAGTACCACCAAAAATGGGGAAGATAAATGGACAACCAGATGCGAAGAGGATGGGACCTCCAACCTTGCCCTGAACATTGCTCTCAACTGTGAATTTAGGGATGGGAAGTAAAATTCAGAATTCTGAGAGACAGACTGGAGGAGCAATGGAGCTTGGTTCTTCAGAGAAGCCCAGTGGAATTTCATAGACTTCCAGTTTGTTATACAATAATTATCACCTGATCTCAGTTGTTATAATCCCTGCTAGTCTTTGTCTGAGCCATTCCTTTATTCTCACGAAAACTTATCAGATGACCTTGATCCCAGGGTTCAGCTTCCTTGATCACCTGCAAAGATGAGGATGAAGTCATTCCTTGGAATCTTGCAGAGATTAACCATCTTTGACACCAATCCTCTTCTTAAACGGACCAAAGCAATACTATAAAATGAAGGATGCTGGGCCATCAACATAGATGACCTCATAGAGGCCACAAGATCCATTCTCTTCCTATGTGCTGTCTTTTTTTTGTTTTTGTTTTAAGAGATGGAGTCTTACTATGTTGTCTAGGCTTGACTCAAACTGCTGGGCTCAAGCAATCCTCCTGCCTCAACCTTCTAAGCAGCTGGGACTACATGTGCATGCCACTGTGCCCAACCCCTATGTGCTGTCTTTGTAGTTGCTTGCTAATATGGTCTAGATGACTATTTATAATTAGAAAATCAATGGAAGGAACATTTTCTGTATCTTGTCTATATCTAAGTATGCGACTATAGTATATAATTTTGTTATTTCAAAAGGATTAATATCTATTCTGATCTTTTAATGTTCTATTTCAGTAGTAAAATGTAACCTGAAAGTACAATTAATTAATTCATTCATTCATATAGTATTTATCCAGTGCCAACTATTCCAATTCTTATACTTCTTCATATTAGTGAAATTTGTAAGCAATATATGAAGAATAGCATTATGGATTTTTAACAGAATGTCAATATTAAGGTAAAATGCTTATGGCCTTATTTTTCCATTTTGAATAGTATTCAAAAAATAAATCTCAGAGATGAAACAAATGAAAGAGAGATTTTTAAAAACAATTCAAAAGATCAACCAACCAAACTATTGGTTTTTCGAAAAGATAAAAAAATCAACAAAACTTCAACTAGACTAAGAAAAAAAGAGAAGACCCAAATAAATAAAATCAGAGATGAAAATGGAGACATGATAACTAACATCACAGAAATACAAAGGATCATAAGAGATTATTAAGAACAACTATATGCCAACAAATTTGAGAACATAGAAGAAATTTATAAATTCTTAAGACACATACAAGCTACCAAGATTAAAGTATAAAGAAATAGAAACACTGAACCAACCGATCACAAGTGAGAAAATTGAATTAGTAAACAACAACAACAAAATCTTTCATCAAAAAAATCCCAGGAAATATCCAGGATTAAACATAACCAAAACAGTGAAAGATATCTACAATGAAAACTAAAACAATGTAAGAAATCAAAGAAGGAACAAAAAAATGGAAAGACATTCTATGTTTATGGATTGGAAAACTCAATATTGGTAAAACGTCAATACTACCAAAATCATTCTACAGATTCAATATCTCTGTCAAAATGCCAATGATGTTCTTCACAGAAATAGAAAAAAATTTCCTAAAATTTATATGGAACCACAAAAGATTCAAAGCAGCCAAAGTCATTCCGAGCAAAAAAAAAAACAAAATGGGAGGAATCACATTACCTGACTTCAAATTATGCTACAGAGTTATGGTAACCAAAACAGCACAGCCCTGGCATTAAAAACAAACACATAGACGAATGGAACAGAATAGAGAACACATAAATAAATGCATCCATTTACAGTGAACTCAGTTTTGACGAAGTTGCCAAGAACACATGTTGGGGAAAGAATACTCTTTTCACTAAATGGTGCTGGGAAACTTGGATATCCATATGCAAAAGAATAAAGCTAGACTCTTCTCACAAAATACAAACATCAAATCAAAATGAAGTAAAGATTTAAATCTAAGTCCTGAAACTAATGAAACGACTACAAGAAAACATTGGAGAATCTCTCCAGGACATTGGACTGGGCAAAGATTTCTTAAGTAATACCCAAAAAGCATCAGCAACAAAGCAACAAAGCAAAATGGACAAATGAGACCATATCAAGTTAAAAAGCTTTTATACAGCAAAAGAAACAATCAACAAAGTGAACAGACAACCCATAGAATGGGGGTCATGAACTCTCCATCTGACAAGGAATTAATAGGCAGAATATGTAATGCACTCAAACAACTCAATAGAAAAATATCTAATAATCCAATTTAAAAATGGGCAAAAGGGCTGAATACAGATTTCTCAAAAGAAGACATACAAATGGCAATCATGTATATGAAAAGAAGATCAACATCATGGATCATGAGAGAAATGCAAATCAAAACTAAAATGAGATATTATTTTACCCCAGTTAACATGGCTTGTCTCAAAAAATGGGCAGTAATGAATGCTGGTGAGAATATGAAGAAAGAGGAACTTTTGTGCACTGTTGGTGGTTACACCATAAATTAGTACAGCCACTATGAATAACCTTATGAAAGTTCCTCAAAAAACTAAAAATAGACCTCCTATATGATCCAGCAATTTCACTGCTGAGTATATACCCAAAAGAAAGGAAATAAGTTTATCAAAGTAATATCTGCACTCCTGTGTTTACTGCAGTTCTGCTTACAATAGCCAAGATTTGGAAGCAACCTAAGTGTCCATCAACAGATGAATGGATAAAGAAAATGCAGTACATGTATAGAATAGAGAACGATTCAGCCATGAAAAAGAATGAGATTCTGTCATTTGCAACAACATGAATGGAACTGGAGGACATTATGTTAAGTGAAGTAAGCCAGGCACAGCCAGACAAACTTCACATGTCCTCACTCATTTGTGGAATCTAAAACTAAAAGCAATTGAACTTATGGAGATGGAGAGTAGAATAATGGTTACCAGAGGCTGGGAAGGGTAGTGAGGTTGGGGGTGAGGAAGTAGGGATGGGTAATGGGAAGAAAAAATATAATTAGATGTAATGAATAAGATCTAGTATTTGATAGCACAGCAGGGTTACTACAGTCAACATTAATTTACTGTATATTTTTAAATAACTAGAGTATAATCAGAATGTTCATAACACAAAGAAATGATAAGTGCTTGAGATCAAGGATACCCCCTTTACCCTGATGTGATTATCATATATTGAATCCCTGTATCAAAATATCTCATGTACTCTATAAATCTATGTTGCTACAACATACCCAGACATTTTTTAATGAAAAAAAGGCCCACGACCCATTGGCTTCACTGCTGAATTCTTCCATAGATTTAAAGAAGAACTAATACTAAGTCCCCTCAAACACTTCCAGAAAATTGAAGACGGGGAAGCACTTCAAAACTCATGAGGCCATATTACTCTTATTCCAAAACCAGACAAGGACACAACAAAAAAATAAACTACAGGCCAATATTACTGATGAACATAGATACAAAAATTCTCAACAAGATACTAGCAAACTAGCAAGCAGTACATTAAAAAGATAATTCACTATCACCAAGGGAGATTTATCCAGGGATTCAAGGATGGTTTAACATGTAGAAATCAATAAATGCATTAAAACACATTAATAAAAAGACAAAAACGTGATCATTTCAATAGATGCAGAGAAAGCATTTGACAACGTTCAACATCCTTTCATGATAAAAAAAAAAAACTCTTAAAAAATTAGGTATGGAGAATATGCATCTCAACACAATGAAGGCCATGTATGACAAACCTGTAGCTAACATCATACTGAATGGGGAAAACCTGAAACCTCTAAGATCAGAAACATTACAAAGGTGCCTACTTTTACCACTCCTATTCAATGTAGTATTGAAAGTTCTAGCCAGAGCAATTAGGCAAAAAAAGAAATAAAAGGCATCCCTGTTAAAAATAAGAAGTTAAATTGTCCCTATTTGCAGGAGATGTGATCTTGTATATAAAGTATCCTAAAACACTGAAAAACTGTTTGGACTATTACATGAATCCAGTAGTTATAAGAAACAAAATCAACATATAAAAATCAGTAGCATTTCTATGCACTAATAGTGAACTACCTTAAGAGGAAATCAATGAAACAATTATATTTATAATAGCTAGCAAAAAAAATAGCTAGGAACAAACTTAACCAAGAAGGTGAAAAATCTCTTCTCTACATTGAAAACTATAAAACATTGATAGAAGAAATTGAAGAAAACACAAATAAATGAAAAGATAGATTTTGTTCATGGATTTAAAGAATTAACACTGTTAAAACAGCCATACTACCCAAAGTGATCTACAAGTTTAATGCAATCATTGTCAAAATACCAATGACATTTTTCACAGGAATAAAGACAAAAATTCTAAAATTCATATGAAAACACAAAAGACCCTGAACAGCCAAAGCAATCCTAAGCAAAAATTAAAAATCTGAAGGTATCACACTACTTGACTCCAAAATATACTACAAAGCTGCAGTAACCAAAACAGCATGGTACTGTCATAAAAACAAACATATACACCAATGGAACACAATAAAAATCCCAGAAAAAAATTTACACACTTACAGCCAACTGATTTTTGACAAAGGTGGCACAATATATATTGGGAAAAAGATAGTTTATTCAATAAATGGTGCTGGGGTAATTAGATATTCACATCCAGAAGAATGATACTCAGCCCCTACGTCTCACCATATACAAAAATCAACTCAAAATGGGATTAAAGACTCAAATATAAACTGCCAAACTATGAAACTGCTATAAAATAGCATAAGGGAAATGCTTTATAACAGTGGGCTGGGTAAGGATTTTTAAAATAAGGCCCCAGAAGCGCGGGCAACAAAAGCAAAAATAGGCGTATGGGATTACAACAAACTAAAATGCTTTGCACAGCAAAAGAAACCCTTAACAGACAACCTACAGAATGGAAGAAAATATTTGCAAACTATAGCAAACTATACGTCTGACAAGGAGTTAATATCCAGAATATATAAAGAACTTAAACAACTCCACAGAAAAAATATAATAATCAAATTTTTTAAATGAGCAAATGATCTCAATAGACATTTCCCAAAAGAAGACAAACAAATGACCAACTGACCAACAGGTATATGAAGAAAATGTTCAACATAACTAATCAGGAAAATGCAGATAAAAACCACAATGAGATATCACCTCAATCCTGTTAGAATGGCTACTATCAAAAAGACCAAAGAAAATATATATTGGCAAATATATGGAGAAAAGAGAACACTTACACACTGTTGGTGGGATTGTAAATTAGTGCAGCCACTATGAAAAAGAGATGGAGTTTTCTCAAAAAATTATAAAATAGAACTACCATATGCTCCAGCAATCCAACTACTAGGTATTTATCCAATGAAAATGAAATTTGTACATAGAAGAGACAACTACACTCCCATGTTTATTGTGGCACTATCTACAATAGTGAAAATATGGAATTTCCCTAAGTATCCAACAATTAATGAATGGAAAAACAATAAATAGATAAAGAATATGTGGTTTATATACACAGTGAAACCCTATTCAGCCATGAAAAAGAATAAAATACTATCATTTGTGACAACATAGATGGGCCTGGAGGATATAATGTTAAGTGAAATAAGCCAGACACAGAAAGACAGATACTATTCAGAGTTTCTATTTCTTCCTGATTTAATCTGGGAGGGTTGTATGCTTCCAGGAATTTATCCATTTCCTCTAGATTTTCTGGTTTGTGCACATAAAGATTTTCATCATAGCCTTAAATGATATTTTGTATTTCCGTGGTATTGGTAGTAATATCTCCAGTTTCATTTTTAATTGAGCTTACTTGAAACTTCTCTCTTCTTTTCTTGGTTAATTTCTCTAATGGCCTTTCAATTTTGTTTATCTTTTCAAGGAACCATCTTTTTGTTTCATTTACATTTTGTATTTTTTTGTTTCAATTTCTTTTAGTTCTGCTCTGAATTCACCACTAAAGAACTCATCCATGTAACCAATAACTACCTGTATGCCCAAAACTATTAAAATTTTAAAAAGTTTTTATCATGGAAGAAGAGAATAAAGCAGTGTTTACCAGAGACTGGAGAGGGGAAGTGGGGGAGGGGAGGATAGAGAGAGTTGTATACGGTACAATGTTGCAATTAGATAGGAGGAATAAGTTCTGGTGTTCTACTGCACAGTAGGGCAACCATTGTTATCAGTAAGTATTGTATATTACAAAAAGGCTAGGAGAGAGGCTTTTGAATGGTCTCACTACAAATGAATGATAAATGCACAAGGTGATGAGTATGTTAAGTACCCTGATTTGATCATTATACAACATATATATATATGAAAACATCAAATTGTACCCTATAAATATGTATAAGTACAATGTGCCAATAAAAACAAGAAAGTTAAAAAAAGCATTTCAATTTATGTAAAGATATCAAAGATTTCTGGCAGTCTTATGGTATATTAATCTCAAAATAATTTTATCATAAAATGTAATTATGTTAGGTCCAATAAAATGCAATGCATATTATAAAATTGTATACTTCAGGTTTCTACTCATTTTTAACACAGACATTTTATGTTTCTTTCTTCATGTTAAAGCAGCTTCCCTGAGTTAGAATCTATACTGGTGATCAAATAAGTTGATTATATCATTCTGTTGCAGTAGAATAGCAGACAGAGTTCAATGAGGCTTTTTATCTTAAATTATATTTTCAACTTGACCTCATTAAATTTTTTTTCTCCTGTTTGTCATTGTTAGGCTTACTGTTTTTCATATTTCCTCTCAGCGCCTTTACCATTTTAAAAGTGTCTTAGGAAATAACTCTTGCCTGGACAGTTCATTATTTCTAATAGTGACAACATATCGAATGGCATAGTGAACTGATTTCATTGTGCCTCATGACCCACTCTTAGACAAGCTCAGGTAGATTTCCTAGTTGCTGATGAGTTTTTAGAAAATCATTAAATGTCAAAAGCTATTTTCATGTTCACGTTTGTTTTCAAATGTATTCTTAAACTATCTCTAGGACAGAAAAACTACCACCGTCTAACAAATGAAAAAAAGAAAAAACAACTTTCTTGCTTAGGCTTTGTTTTTTAGAGTAAAGAAACAAATAGGAAACTGGGTGAAATGTTTTTCCTAACATAGGACCTACATTGCGGTTGCAGTGAAGCTGATCTGTTTTTAAATATAATGCCTGTTTCTGTGCACTTTTATAATAATTAATTTTTCATTTTTTGATGTAAGATATATATATCATATATATGATATATGATATACATAATATATATATTTAAAATTTTACATAATTATCGATAGGGATATAATTTTGATTTAAAATAAAATTAGTTAGCATAAAGTGCAGCTTTTCAAACATGTTTCAAGAAAAAACTGTACTGAAATGTAATCAGATGAGCAATGCTATTAGACACAACCACTGGAGAGTCTAAAGCAACTCATAATGAATTAAAAGAAAAGAGCCATTAAACTGGAGAATCCCAACAATCAAGCGGAGACATTTCAGGCTCTTAGGCATCACTGCTGGAATAAATATGTTATTACACTAAGCTTTTATGAAAGGCCGTTACATTTTTACCAACTTTAATCTGTTTCATTTTTGTGTTTAAAGGATGGGAGTTGCATTAAAATAAAAATTCCATTTGGGTTATTATCTCCCCAGCTGTCTTTACAGACCATGGGGCTGGCCAGAGAATGTTCTCATTATGTGTGGCGAGCAGTTAGTCAGTGATTGATGCTGCATTAATGCACGGCACAGACGCGTTCCTTTTGTTACTGAATATTAGACAAATTAGTTCTTATAAATTCATGACCCACCCTCCCCCTCCTGTCGGTGTGTCTTCCTCCTCCCTCTTCTCACTTCTTTACTGACTCAGCTACTGTGGATGGTTAATACTGCTAAAACCTTCAGTGAGAATGAACTAAGGCATCAGGAGGAGGAAATTGACAAAGGGCTGAAAACAGACATTGATTCTTGCAGGCAAACAATATACAAAGGGTTCTAGTCATTTTCTGGGATTCCTCAGTGCAGTAATGACAAATAAATGTTTTGTTGTCCCAGTCCCAAATTAATTTTTCCTCCCACTTTTGGTGAGGAATCATTTATCTTCTCAGTTGCTTTTAATCTACTTCTTTTGGGATAGAGAGAGATGAGTTGCAAAATAATTTGATCGAGACAGTGTTTTTATCCAGGAAGCACAGCGTGGGGATGCATACACCTTTCTTCCTCTTGCCCCCAATTTTTGTATTGGAATTTTTCATTGAACTTTTGAAATTCCAGTACAAATATTAAAACTGAAAGATAAACTTCTGCAAATGATCACTGTTTTCCAATTGGATTGTGTGTAATATATATTTATTTTGAAAGGGTATGACAGTGAATATCAAGTATTTAGAGTTCTGATAATATATTACATGTATATTATTACCAATAATAATATTAGTTATTATTCTTATTAAAACTAGTATTTTTAGTGTTTACTGGAGGATATTCAGTCTGTGTTAAACTTTATGTTTTCTCATTTAATCTTGAAATGATCAATTTCCAATTGTACAGATGATGAAAGTGAACACGAGATTAAGCCCCTTGTCCAATGTTTCCTAGTTTATAAGCAGATCTTGTGCGCATCCCCTGAAAAGGTGCAGTATGAACTATATTTGGTTTATAAATTGGGCCGGGCACGGTGGCTCACGCCTGTAATCCCAGCACTTTGGGAGGCCGAGGCGGGCAGATCACGAGGTCAGGAGATCGAGACCATTCTGGCTAACACGGTGAAACCCCGTCTCTACTAAAAATACAAAAAATTAGCTGGGTGCGGTGGCGGGCGCCTGTAGTCTCAGCTATTCGGGAGGCTGAGGCAGGAGAATGGTGTAAACCTGGGAGGCGGAGCTTGCAGTGAGCCGAGATAGCGCCACTGCAGTCAGGCCTGGGTGAAAGAGCGAGATTCCGTCTCAAAAAATAAAAATAAAATAAAATAAAAATAAAAATAAATTAAATTAAAATTGATTATGTTTTCAAATTCTATAATATTAGACATCCTTGAAGGTTCCTTTAAGCATTATTTTTTAGTGCTCTAAATTTTAATTTTTAATATAGTAAATACAGATATATCAGTATTGCTGTATTTATTTGGCATTGATATAAACAATCTAACCAAAAGCTTGATGGTGGATGGTACTAAATAATTTTTTTAAGTATGCAATTCAATGGTTTTGGAAATGTTTGGTTTTTTGGTTTATTACAGCAATCTAGTTTTAGGACATTTTTGTCCTTCCTAAAGAAACCCCATACTATTAGCTGTCATTCTCCATTCCTCTAACCTCTCACTAATATACATTTTGTCTCTATAGATTTGCCTATTCTGGGCATTTCATATGAATAGAATCATACAGTATATGGTTGTTTGTGTCTGTTTTCTTTCACTTAGCATAATGTTTTAAAGGTGCATTGATTTTCTTGCATATATTTGGTACTTCATTGGTTTTTATTGCTAAATAATATTACATTGCATGGATAAATCATATTTAGTTTATCTATCAGTTGATAGACATTTCCAGTTGTTTCCACATGTGGCTATTATGGATAATGCTGCTGTGAACGTTCATGTATGAATTTTTGTGTGGATATTTGCTTTCATTTTCCTTGGGTATATACCTAGGAGAGGAATTGCTGGGTCCTGAGGTTAAACTCTATGTTTAACCCTTTGAAAAACTGCCAAATTGCTTTTCACAGCTCCATCATTTTACATTCCCAAAAGCAATGCATTGGGATTCTAGTTTCACCATATTTTCTTCAGCACTTCCTATTGTGTTTTTTATTATAGCTATCTTTATGGGTATGAAGTGGTATCTCATTGTGGATTTGATTTGCATTTTGCTAATGACTAATGACACTAATCATCTTTTTCTGTGCTTATTTGCTATTTGCATATCTTCTTTGGAGAAATGTCTACTCAAATCCTTAGCCTACTTTTAAATTGGGTTATTTGTCTTTTTGTTGTTGACATGTAAGGGTTCTTTAGATATTTTGTGTACAAGTTCCTTATCAGATGTGTGCTTTGGCAAATACTTTTTCTTATTCTATGGGTTGCATTTTCAGTTTCTGATGATATTTTTAGCTGCATAAATTTTTAAATTTTGACAGTCTAACTAATGTATATTTTCTTTTGTTACTTATGCTTTAGGTGTCATATCTAAGAAAGCATTTACTTATCTCAAGGTTACAAAGACTTACTCCTAGGTTTTCTTCTGAGAATTTTGTAGCTTCAGCTTTTAAATTCAAACATTTGAACATTTAAAACATCTGTAAAGTGTATCTCATGGCATAGACCTAATTCTTTCTGGTTTGGTCAGATATATTAGTTAAGTGAACGAAGCAAATATTTTTAAGTAACTATTATATAGTTATGATCCTTTCCTAAAACATGATGCGAAATTTGCCCCTGAGGGATTTTGCCTAATAAGGAGGAACAGACATGACACAAAGAACTAAGATGTAAAGTAAAATATGAAAAGGACCACATGAAATGTAATGACCATTTGTACTGGAAATTCAAAGGTGAAAGATTATTCCTGGTTATAGGTAGTGGTATTATTCATGATTTTTATCTTAAATTAAAAATAAAGGTAAAGTTTTGGGAGATTATCCCTTAACTAGTAAAAATCAAGTAAATCATTGACTAGTACCACTTGTATTTAGGTTTCTGGAGTGTACAGCATTGCTGATCTTAACTATTCTGTGCTGTAGAGCAGCACTTCTAAAAGTTTGGCTAGCAAAACTCTGGGGGCCCCTGGGACTCTTACAGGGGATCTGCTAAGTCAAGATAATTTTCATAATAAGATTCAGATATTATTTGCCTTTTTCATTGTATGAATATTTTGCTGATTATGCAGAAGCAATGATGGATAAAACTGCTATGCCTTAGGTTGAATTAAGGCAGTGGCACCAAACTGTGCTAGTAGTCATATGTTCTTACTACTACAGATTTGCAGTAAAAGTTAAAAAAATAAAACGAATGAATGAAGAAATGCCAGTTTCATTTAAGAATGTTCTTGATGTAGTAGTAAAATTATTAATTTTATTAGATCTCAACCCTTGAATACATGTCTTTTTAATAGCTTGATTAAATGGGAAACATACAGAAAGCACTCTGCTGCATACTTAAGTGATAATGGTGGTCTCAAGGAACAGCACTTGTATGATTGAGTTGCAAGCTGAATTACTCCATTTTTTTTAAATGAAACACCATTTTTATATACAAGAATGACAGACAAGCCATGGATATTGACAGAGAAGCTACTGGGTTCAGATTTCACATCATAGCTCTCTTTTAATAAATTTCTATTTGTCAAGTTTTGGTGTAGTATCAAAGAGGAATATCCACAGTTATCTGTAAAAGCTATTAAAATGTCCCTTTGTGTTCCATCTATGTACGTATATGAATCTAAATATTTTTCATATAAATATTTTATTCTTGTCATGATTTTCTCTTTGGTAACATGTATTTATTTTTTGTTAAAATGTTATTTATGTTAGCCTGTTAAAAGATTACTAGGGTCATTTAAATAAATATTTATAAATTTTAATTTTGACACAATTTTTTACACAATTACTATCAATAGGGATCACCTATATTAACAAAAAGCTCTTTGGAATCTTCAGTACCCTTTTAACTGTGTAAAGGATATTCTGTGAATAAAAGTTTGAGAACCACTGTTGTAGATTAACTTCTTTTCACTGTATTATTTAAGAGTAGTCTTTGAGACTATAAGAAGGGGAATTTCCACTACAATTTAGTCAAGTGAAATACTTTATATATACTAGATTAAGACATGTGAATTGAACAAAAGAGAAGACTGAATTTAGGATATTCTTTGTATTATCTATAGTTAAAGCTTATAGTCAAATTTGAGATTATTATAGGCACCCATTTTACCATCCATGTTTATTTTTATCTGTATACTTTGTGCTATCTTTCTATGTCTCCATTATAAAATAGGTTATTGAGATAAATAAATATTAATTTATTAGGCTTTATGTAACTGAAAAGACTCACTATTTATTTGCCCTTGCATTTCTACCTCTTCTAATAATCCATGTGTCCTTCCTTAAAAACATTAATTAACTCTATATTCGACATCTATTGACTTCCTAGTTTGTACCCAGCACCACAAGAGAATCTTGTAATATAATAATGAATAAGGAGCTTTCTTGCTTGGGAGGAGACTTATTGTATTTATGTATTAAATACATAATTACAATGAGGCATTTCATAACAGAGGTATATGTATACGGTATGGGGAAGCAATAACAAAAATGCAGTGGTCATTTCTTCCTGCAGAAGTCAAAAAGGGCCTCATATAGGGAGTGTCCTTGAGCTAATTATTGAAAAATTATATGAGGAATTATAATATATATGAGGAATTGCAAATAACACCACATGGTTGGAGTAAAGGGTACAGGAGCAACACAATTAAAAAAAATGAATACTTTAGATTTTATCCTATCTGTAGTAGAAAGTTGTTGATAAGGCTTGAACAGATATAATTTATATTTTATGTAAGTGAGTCTTCCATCAGTTTGGTGAATGTATCATTCCTTCATTCTGTAAATATTTCTTTAATTTCTCCTATGTGACAGGTACTGTGTTCAATGCTGGGATTATAAAAACAAATAAGACATATCCCCTGCTATCAAATCACTCTAATGTGCTGTTAGATTATCAAGTGTGCTCCCGTGGCTTACTGATATAATTAATATTAGTTCCTAGTACTTTGGGCAAGTGAAGCAATTCCAGAGTTTAGTGTTTTTCATCAACCTGTAATGCTTGTGACTTTGTTGCCTAGACAAGATGGCACTGGGAGTTAACAACTGTTTGTAATTAATCTTGATGAATGTCTATAGAAAACTAAATTTTAAAAGTCCTTAAAGCACTCAAGGTATCAAACAAAAAAGATGTCCTCAAGGATTCAAAATAACTTTATTATTTATGAAATCTCTCAAATTTGATACATTTTAGTGAAAAAATGCAAACAATGACAAAAATTATAGGAACAAATAGAAACGCATTCTCAAGAGGGTTGTATTCTAGTTTAAGTTGAATATGAGTGCCTGATTTTCAGCTTAATAAATTTCTGCCAAAATGAAATATAATGCATAGTTTCTTGCAAGTCATGCAGGAAACAATAGATATAACTTTCAAAAATACAGTAATAGTAGCTTAGAAAGTTACATACATGTTTTGAATATATCCCCCCAGTTATGTTGGACATGTTCTTATATCCACTTTATGAATCTAGAAACTGAAGATGTCATCAATCCAAAATTGGACTGGAGTTTGTCTGACCCAGAAGCAGCCTCCCTCTCAGGGTAGAAACAGCAGTCAATACCTCCCTACCTTCATCTGCAACACACGTGAGAGGGACCTATTCATCACAGTGTAATTTGATTGGAAAGTATTGAAACTTTGATTCTAGATAGGCTTCAATATCTGACAAAAGTCTAATTAAAAGGAAGTGGAATACATGCATTTCTTCTGGAGTTTTGGGTTATGGACACTATTCTGGTTGTTAGAAGCATCTTAAATTTTTAACCAAAAGTCAATGAAATATATGACTTGAGTTTTACATACAGAAATCTAGCATGAAGACATAGATTAGAGTCATTACCTTCTAGGTGATAATCCCTTCAGACATGACATGATGTCAGAAATTCCAGAGGAATATTGTTACCCATTTTCTTAAAACTAAGCAAAGCAAAACCAAGGAGGAGTACTCTTTATTAGGTAGTAGTATGGTGTTGTAGGTAAAACAGCTTCTTCTGTAAAGAGTTTGAAAGTCAGTGGGGGATTCAGACATATAAATAGATGAAAAGGTAAGAGGAGTGTATGAGTTCGTTCTTGCACTGCTATGAAGACACACTTGAGATTGGGTAATTTACAAAGAAAAGAGGTTTAATTGGCTTATGGTTCTATAGGCTGTACAGATTTCTGCTTCTGGTGAGGCCTCAGGAAACTTATAATCATGGTGGAAAGTGAAGGGGAAGCAAGCACATCTTCACATGGCCAGAAGGAGAGAGAGAGAACGGGGAGGTGCTACACACTTTCAAACAACCAAATCTCATGAGAACTCTGTCACAAGATCAGCAAGGGGGAAGTTCACCCTCATGATTCAGTCACCTCCCACAAGGCCCCTCCTCCAAAACTAGAAATTACAATTTGACACGAGATTTGGGTGGGGACACAGAGCCAAACCATATCAAAGAGAATAAGGCTAAGGACAATAATTTGGAGAACACTCAATATCAAACAGGTGTATTGAAGTAGGAGAAGTATTTTTAAAAATCTCAGGAGAATAAACTGGGCATGGTGATACTTGTCTGTAATCCCAGCTACTCAAGAGGCTGAGGTGGGAGGATTACTTGAGCTCAGGAGTGTGAGATCAGTCTGGGCAACAAAGAGAGACCATTGTCTCAAAATAAATAAATAAATAAATAAATAAAAATTTCAAAGGAATAAAAATGAGAAAGTAGAGCTGGGAAATAAATAGCATGAAAACTAAGGAGGTGACTATTTGAAAAAAGTGGGGATGTATTGGATTACACCGTGTGGTCATGTAAGATACTTTCTGACAAGGGTGCACTGGATTTGGCAAATGAAAGTTACCTGGTGAACTCAGTATTAACAGATTAAATGGAGTGATGGTGCCAGCTTGGAGAGTGAGCATGGGCTACACTTTTAAGAAGCATGGCTGTGAAAGGAAAGAGAGAAAAGGAAGGTGTCATCTTGCAAAGGACAGACTGTCAAGAAAGTGCTTTTGTTGATTTAGATGGAACAGACTTAAGCATGTCAGATGCTAATAGTATGAGCCAGTGGCAAGGGAGTAGTGGGTGATTTATTTGGGTGACTGGCAGTTCCTGTTCTACTCAGGATAAGATACCTTGAGTTCTTTTCATTTATCATGGCATTTCTGCCCCTGGTGAACTTATTGTTGTCAATTCTTTCACTCTATGTATTCCAGAACTTCTGTTACATGTTTTAAAGTGAAACAAAAAAATTATATGAGAGTTCAATTATTCTAGAAGCTTATTGTGATAAGGCCTTGACTAATAGGAAATCAGCTCACTTATTAACCCAATTTTTTTCTGCACTTTTCTTTTTATATGAATGAGAAAGTACGTGGAGGTGGGTGATTCAGAATTTAATTTAAAACCAACTTCCAGGCTAAACAGGCAATCAGTATGCATTTCTTATGTGTTTGCCTCCCCAAAGATATAATGATAGGTGTGAGCATTGATACAAAGAATTATAGCACATAGTCTTTATTGTCATGATGGTTGCAATCTGAGGATATAAAACTACACATGTGAAAAGGTAGCTAACAGTGTGACAATATAAATGACAAAGACCATAATGAATAATATGGATTAAATGCAATAGGAATTTAGAAGAGATGAATAACACTGAGTTGGAGTGTTCTAAGATAACTTCTTGGACAATATAGTTGGCAAGCAAATCCTTAGGTTGGGTAGATCTGGGAAAACGAAGAGAGAAAGGCATTTCATCTAGAATGGAAGAAATGTTTGTTAATTAGGCACTTCTATTTGTTGGTGATATACCAGATATTTTAATATGCATATTCATAATTATTTTAATTATTTGTGAAGATGAGACAGAATAGGATTTTTTTTCTTGCAATGACTGAATGCACCATAACTTAATGGGTTGATGGTTTTATTAGTTAATCCTAGAATTCCACTCTTTCACTCACTCACCCATTCACTTTCTCTCTCTCTTTTTATTTTGATATATTTTCTGTTTTTCCTGTCATCTGAATTCCTTTCCATTGTTTGCAGAATGTCCTCCTATATGAGCATTGGTAGGAGTCAGACCTTACTTACTGCTTTTGAACTTGTCAAGTCCAGATGCATGTTGATCCAGTGACTTTATAACGAAAGATAGGGCACAGACATAAGTTCAGCTAAAGTAGATGACTTGTCTGGGAACTTGGAATCACAACCTAGTTGTAATGAGACATGAATTTGGAGAGCAAGGGCACCTACATCCAGTCTGTGTGGTAGTGATGGTAATGCATTTGGTGTCAACCTATAGCAAGCAGCACTGGTGAGGAGGTGTGGCAAGCTGTGGCAGTGGTGGAGGCAGAAGTGTTCTCTCTAGAATGGCTCAGGGGCTGCCTGGCCTCTCTTGTTTCATGTCCATTTTCTAAATCAATTCTCTTGCCTCCCTAACAACTCTGTAAGCAACCCAGTAATTCTTCCAACAATTGCCTTTTCTACTTTAACCAGTTAGAATTTTCTGTTGTTTTCATTTAAGAATTATAACAAGTGCAAGAGTTTAGGATGAGATTATGAGGGCTTTTCATATCAGCCTAAGGAGTTTGAACTTCAATTTACAGGAATTATCCCAATATAAAAGCATTTTGAGTAGTAGGATGGCATTACCTAACGGATACTTTATGAAGATTAACATCAGTGTTATGTAGGATAAATAATTTGAGAGACGGTAACTAGAATGATCATATAGGAGAAGTGGGCCATATTAACAAGGCAGCTGGCTTGCATGGGAAAAGGTTAGACAGGTTGAGTTTGAGTAGACGCAACAAATATATAATTAGGCGATAGCAATATGAGATTGAGCACAGATTAGAGAAGTGATAATCAAAGCCTTAATAGTAATAAGGTAGGTGTCAGGTAATTTTCTAAGCAAATGGGTTATTGCACTGATGAAGAATTGTAGAGTATTGGTCCTCTCCATAATCTTCCCTGACATGCCTGAGGGCTAACATATAGACCACACATGGATTCTCCGTTTTCAACCTTGCCTCACTTATGTATTTGCATCAGAGGGAAGGATGCAAGTGTCCGTTGAGAACAACCCAAAGATTATTAAATAAGCCTCTCCCTCTTCAGTCCCATACTGAATTCATATGAATTTTTACCTATGAGTCTCTTTTTTGGAAAGTGAAAAAAAAAAGGACAGAAACAAATACTGGCTACATTTATATTATGGGCTGATAGAAAGAAATTGAATTCATAAATGAAGGAGAACAAGAATTATCCAAGAAGTATCAGAATTGCCAGAACTCTTGGCAGCTGAATTTCACATCCCTGTTTTAATCTCTGGAGGCCTACCCAGAAGTGAGGAAGGCTATCATAAGAAGCAGAAAATACCAGGCTTAGATAAAATTATTCCTTTATTTTACATCTAAGATCCTTGCACTGCTGAGTAAGAGTTTTAACCCCATTCAATTAGATATTAAAGGTTGGTATGGCTCATACAGGACACTCCTCCATCACATTCCTGTAGAATAATTCAAAAATGTAACTTTTCGGACCTCCTGGAACAAAGGGCAAGTAATATCGTACATACCATTACAAAGATAACCGAAGAATTCAATGTATATTTCCATGTTACTGTAATGCAGTGGAATTGAGGCAAGGTAAATTCCATGTTAGTAGATGCAAAGCACAGAGAATAGTGGGGAAAGCACCACACTGTTTAATCAAGAGTCTTGTTTTGCCACCGACTAAGTGTTTGCTTTGAAGATATTCTTGCCCTCTGTTGTCCTCTGCTTTCTTATCTCTTAAGTGAAGAGATCGCTGAGGGCCCTTGGGGAAAGGACTGAGAAATCGGAACTCTGGTTCAAGAAAATAAAATTGGCTACCAGAGGGAGTGAACAGATGATGCTGCAAGATGAAATTGCAGCCTTCATAGCAGAAGTTGAGAACAGTTGCTACTTTCCTTAAAGGTCATCGTTCATATTCCAATACGAGTGGGGCGGTGATGACACATTGAGAACCTGTTGTCTTTGTTAGGATGGGCCCTACCCTTTTCTAGCAGTTATCTGTTTACCTTTTAATATAATTAGGCAGACCAGATTGGTATTTAGTCTTGTTCTGACAACAGCAAATTAGGCTTAACTCTTTAATTACAATGAGAAGGAAATCACCTTTCTGATATCCTTCAATTAGCTCAAGCAGCTGTTAAGTTATAATTAAAATTTCACATGGATCATTTGAGTTCTTGGAATGTTTCCATTTAATAACAAAACATTTGCATATATGCATTCAGTTTTTAACAACCTTTTCAAATCTGTCAATGGTAAACCAAGAACATTGATACTGTATTAAACAAAATCTTTGTAGTCTTGTAAGCAGACAGCTGGGTCCCACAACATGAAAAATGGAAATAGAAGAAGGTGATCAAAAAGTATTAGTGTCTCCAAGTTTTCTGGAGCTTGTTCAGAGAATTAAACTTTTGTTTCATGCACAGTTATCCAAGAGGGAGTTAAAAAAAGAAACACTAACCAGGAGAGAGTGGTTTTTTGGTGCTTGACAAATGAACGCATGTATTATGTGCATGCCATTACTCAGTACAATGACAATCACCCCCACTGTGATTTTACAAGTGGGTTCTTGCCTCTATAGACTTTTAAAAGTATAAATATGAAAGCAAAAATTATATGTGAACATTCAAAGATCCTCTTTTGTTTTTATTTAGTTCTGAGAATTGAACTGACTAAAAAATTTACTCTCTTTGAAGTTGCTCTGGCCATTATCTCTCTGATACAGCAATGGATTCAATGATCTATGTAGGACCAAGATGTAAGAATAAACATAAACTAAGCACACTTTCAATTTAGAAACTAAGAATCTTTGAAACACTACATGCTGACTAAATTAAACTGCACCCAATTGAAGAATCATAAGAATATTTTTAAAATTATGTTTAAAAGTTTGAATTAATGGAGATTGGATTCAATATTAGAAAACTGATTAAAACAAGGGGAAGTTAAATGATTGTTTCCTCTTTTTAGATATAATTTATGTTTTCTATTCTTTAACATTGGTAGGAGGAAGTGATAAAAAATAAAAATAACAATGTTGGAAGGTGGCAGGTTTTAGAATCTATACTGAAGGCCTTAAGAAGGAGTGTATTCATGCTTATTCCTTGATAGTCTACATTGACAAGAAGAATTCTATATTGACTAAGAACCTAATGATGTCTTCCCAACCATCAACCTGTATTGTATGTTGTTGAATTTCAACCACCAAGATAATTGTATCTCCTGGAATTAAAGAAGCACATAGAGAAAAGAGATGAAAGAGCAATGTCTGATACCATAATTATACCAGTGTGCACACTTTTGGGGGCTACCAGCTGTTATCAGCACATTTTCCATCTGCCTTTCCTAATTTTACTGTGACCTTTTAGAACTGATTTCATCTGGTAGAGACTTGGATCTGACACCATCACTGAGTCAATTTTATCTTTGAACAACTAAAGGGAAGAATGAGTAACAAGTGGCATTCTGTTCAGAAAAATGTTCCAAATTAGTATTTCATTATTCTTTTGTTGGGAAACCTCATTGTTGAGTGATTTTAAGATTCATTTCAAGTACTTAGGTTTACCAATCTGCAAGTCCACAGTTTACCTCAGGGAATCAGGGTTAGAACTCATAAACTCTCAAGCTGTTTTCAGAGGAGAATTATTTGGAATGCTTGTTTAAAGGTTTTTAATTTTTTTATGCAGATGAAAAACAGAACTCTAAAAGGGTGGTTTTATTAATTCTGGCTCCAAAATCTAGAAAGATTTACATTAACTTCCCCTCTCTCTGTCTCTTTCTCTCTCTGCCTCTGTCTCTTTCTCTCTCTCCTTCTCTCACACCCACACACAAAAACACGAACACACACACATGCCTACATGAAGGCCATGCTCTAGAATATTAATATGTTTAGAACACTTATTCTGTGCCCTATGCTACTTGCTAGCAATAAATAATTTATTCATCCCAACAACCCAACAAGCCAGTTTATACTACTATATACATCTACATAAGAGAAAACTGAAGCCATGGAAAGTTAAGTAAATAGTGCTTGACGTATTCTAAGGCCCATTCTCTTCACCAGTATGGTATTATTTTCATTTATTTGTCAATTAAATAACTTAGTACCTTCTAGGTCTCAGACTTATCTAGGGGCTAGGCATACAAAGATGAACACAATGAGCATGGTCCCTGGCCTCATGATATTGACAGCATATGAGTAATTTTCTCCTTATAAGTTGATCTTACATCAATGAGTAATTCCTACATTCATGGGCTTTAGCTTAAGCATGTACTGTACCTAGTATTTAATGAGGCTGCTGAGGCCTGCAATAATGCATGCAACTTTTTGAATTTTGTGAGGCAATAGGTTTTGGCTCATCTCTGATGACCATGTTAGCCTTCGCTGGCTGTTTGAGTGGTAGCAACAGCCATGCAGCCACTAAAATGTTCCAGTACCCAGCTATTAGATACAAGATCAGTCTCTGAATTGTTCCTGGATATCCCTCAGTTTTCTAACAAGCTGTATCACCTCTAGCCTCTCTCTAAGGGAGGAACACTCTCCCCAGTACCTGATAAGTGAGAAACAGGCCATATGCAACCCAAGAGGAAATTTTCATGTCTTTCACTTCAGCCAAGACATTGGCTGATATTGTTACTCTGCCTCTTGCTTTGGAGACAATCATAAGTGAGGAAGTGAGGATGTGAAACATGGGGACAACTAGCAGGTCTGAAAAAATTCCATTTTGAACGATGTGAATTTGCAGATTTGTGGTAATGCCTCAGAGAAGCTTGTTCCCTTAGTAGGAATTGATATTCTTCTCAACACAGGAAGATTATGGGAGGTTGACAAAAAGCACAGCCTCAAAATTGTGACCCTTTGCTTAACAGCAGCCACCCCAACTAGTTATGTATGCTGAAATGAAGAATTACATTTAGGTTTACCAGAACTCTCATATATATTTCCTCAGCATAGAAAGAGAATATTTTTATTAAACTCTATTTTCTTATATTTAACCAATAAATTTCCCAGTTATTCATTTTATTAATAGCATCATTATTATTCTGCCTTTTCCTGAAATTTTCAATGTGTCAAGAAAAATGTCCTGGACAATTTCCATACTCTTACTTTCATATCTACTCACTTTTTTCCATTGTATAGATGAAATTAAGCTGAAAAAAAGTTGATTTGCCCAATGTCACCAGCTAGTAAGTCACAGAGTCGGGGAAGAATTTGAGTCTGTCTGATTTCAAACCTACTTACCTTGAACTAATCTGAGTGACAAGACTGTCCTGCCACAGCTGTAAATCACTCATATGTGAAACTTGAATATATTTAACAACTTTCAGTGCATCTTAGAAAGGTTTTCCTTTGACGCTAAAGCACAGAGCCATGGATGACTTTATTTTGTTTATACACTTTCATCTTCCAGTTGCTTGAGTGATTTGCATGCTCATTTACATATTGTGAGCACATGTCAAAGCTAGGTTATGATTCTTTCTTTTATAAAGCAAAAGCCACTCAGTAGAGATTTTATTTTTTCTACTGGGTTCCATTACTAACATTTCTGAAACAATTGGCCTTTACTTATTAAATTTATTTAAATTATTTAATTTAATGATTAAAGGTCTGGGATTGATTTGTCTAACAAAGTTCAGAAAATTGTTTAATGATACCACTTCAGCCCATTTCTATTGTTATTTACATTACGTTGTTAACTGGGTGACTTACCGCAAGTCTTTCCTTCTCTCTGGCCTTTACATTTCTCGTTCAGAATTATTATTCCTGCTACTTTCTTCAAAGGCATTTTCAATCACCAAACTTCTAACATTTTTTTTTATTCTTAGAAGGAAAGAGCTGATTAATTGTATTATGGTTGAGAAGGGTTTGGAATTGAATTGGAATAAAACTAGAAATCTCTTCAATAGCTAATTTGGGCTAGAAAAGGGACACTTCTGTGTTCAAATTATTACATTAATATATCAACTGATTTGCCCACCTCTTAAATATTTTCAGTACTGCATTCTGAAAAGCAATCTTCTGTAGGCAATCTTCATTTGGAGTTAAGAAACAGAACCTTTATTTGGCAAGCTAGGACTTACTGCACTGACATGGTTTGGTTGTGTCCCCACCCAAATCTCATCTTGAATTGTAACTCCCATACAAGTGGGAATTATAATTCCCAACTGTAATGGAATCATGGGGCGGGGGGTTCTTTCCCATTATGTTCTTGTGATAGTAAATAAGTCTCATGAGATCTGATGGTTTTATAAATGGGAGTTCCCCTGCACATGCTCTCTTTTTGCCTGTCTCCATATATGACGTGGCTTTGCTCCTCCTTTACCTTCCACCATGATTGTGAGGCCTCCCCAGCACTGTGGACCTGTGAATCAATTAAACCTCTTTCCTTTGTAAATTACCCAGTCTTGAGTATGTCTTTATTAGCAGCGTGAGAACGGACTTATACATGTACAAAGCAAGGTACCTTATCTATTCTATTTTAACTGTTAGTCTGTCAGGTTTCTCCTAGAAGTTTTGTGTGACAATTTAAAAAATCATTTCTAAGAAGCAGTAGTGGATCTTGCTATTCATAGTAATACTAGTTGAAGTTTTCCATCGGGGGATAATCAACATATGCCTGCACACTCTTCCTTTCTACTTCAGCTGCCTCTTTGACAACTATTGTAAGCATCATCCAATGTGACAATTATAATACATTTGGTTAAGATTGTTGTGTGTCGTTTTCCTAAGATGATTAGCTCCATGAACATAGAAACCATGACTTCTATTTCTTTTGTACTCCTCCATAATACCTAGCTATTAGCATAGCTATGCTATGCTATGTTCATAGAGCTATTATGTTCATAGAGCTGAACATACTGTAATCTTCTAAGAACTATTTATAGGATTGGATGAATTTGTGTCAGAAATGTTACTGATTTCTTTTGCTTAACTCAAGGAACATCCATAACCAATAAAATTATTATAATGGTGCTGGAAATTCAAATATAAAATAATTTTTAGGCAATGTTTAGGACACAAGTCTCCATCTCTCATGGTGCTTTAGCTATTGCCTGGAGAATCTTTCACAAAAGTCTAGGACCCACTCCCAGACATTCAGTTCCAGCATATTTGGGGTGAGTCTTTACTTTTAAAAATACCACAAGTGATACTAACATGCAGCTAAGGCAGAAACCTACTGGTTTAGAATGACCACAACCTATGCTATAGAAATTATCATAGAACACTGCATAGTGAGTTATATGGCTTATTTGGTGCAAAAAAATTAATGAATAATTGACTTGCATTTTATACATTTTTCATAAACTGAATAGACTAAAGGTGTAATTTTTACATTAGTAGACTACCTGAAAGAAGCTTGACTAAAAATTACCTTTTATATATTATAGACCATAACCGACACAGGAAGAGAATGGAAAAGTTGCCATCTGAAATAGCTAATGTCCATATGTACATTGACAATTATCTGCCTTCTGTTGCATGAGGTTTTCTACCTTATTGCAGGGTTACCAAATTAGAGCAAAAAATATCCCAAAAAACCTATTTATCATTCCAAAGAATAAGTAAAGTGTGTGTGTGTGTGTGTGTGTGTGTGTGTGTGTGTGTATTCTTTGGAACATACACATGTACATACATGCATATGCAATATATACAAATGCATGCTTACACACACATATTTATACATCTTACACAGATTTTCCTTTGCCTTTACAGCATGGATTTCCTTATTTAGTGTGAGTATTTTTGTCTTCCAGTTACATGAGAGATTAGTGTGCTAGTTTATGGATTACAGTTTTGTCTTTCAAGAATAATCGCTCAGTAGAGACAAAAGTATATAACAAAAGTACATAAACAAATAATTATAGAATTAGCTTTCAGTAACTTCTTTCTATTCCATTTAATT
Source organism: Homo sapiens (assembly GCF_000001405.40). Taxonomy (NCBI): domain Eukaryota; kingdom Metazoa; phylum Chordata; class Mammalia; order Primates; family Hominidae; genus Homo; species Homo sapiens. The sequence goes on from NC_000012.12 coordinate 41,361,276, forward strand.
TTAAAATAAAGTCATTGGAAATGCTAATGAAATATATTTGGAAGGTTTCCTCCTAATACAACAAGGCAAAAAGAACATGATTCCTGCCTAAACTCCACTTTTAATTTTTACTTAAGACATGCAGATAAAGATGATTGTCCCTGAATTGGTATTGAGCTTGCTTGTTATGAGTTATGAATGTTTTAGCAATAAAATTTGGCTTTCTGGAACAAATGGATGTTCAAACCTGATTTTATTAGTGTGGTTGAACATTGTGGAACTAAAACAAGGAAATTTCTGCATATTGCCACAATTTGAGGCCATATGGATCATAAACTTTTCTATTTATATTTCACTGGTAGACATAAATGACATCCCATCACAAAAAAAGAAGCAAGGAATACACAACTGAAGTTTAGAAATGGACGTCTTGCTACTGAATGTCAGATAAAGGTGAAGCTTTTAAATAGAAGGCCCCTTGATTTAGTACCTTTAATGTGCACAGGAAGGGATCTGCACAGCACATCATTAGTGTGACGGGGTGAAAGGGGCAACACGTTTCTTCTGTTACTGTGGAAAGAGGATGAATCTGGCACAGCTCTGATGTCAGAACCTCCATCACCTTTCTCACAGATGATGTAGATTTTAATTGTACTCGGGGCTGACTCGCGTCGCACCAGCTCCTACGTGACATTGAGATGGATGAAGCCATTTGTTGGCATTATCAGAACCAGCTGTGTGCTTGGCTGCAGCTACAGTAGGCATTTTATCTCATGCATAATCCTCTCATTGAGAGGGGATCACAAACATCTGAACCATATGGCAAATAATTTTATTATGATCTAAAAAGGACTCTTGAAGCTAGTTAAACAGAAGAGTCCTTGAAATTCAATCAGAAGAAGTTTTATTTTCATGTCGCACCATCGTCCTAAATTAATTGTTAGTACTGCCACAATCATCAAGTAGAGCCCAGACTCCTCCACCCACCCTTGCTTGCAAAGTGAAAATAAACTTATAATTACTTTATTTTGCCTGGATTTTTTTTATACTTCTCAATGTGGGAGAATTTATTTTGATCCACATTAGAGAAGAGAATCTGGATTTCAAAGACTGAAGCTGGCTTCTGATTAAAAATAATAATTTTTAAAAAACTCTTCAAATATAAGAACCTTATATCAAATGGAATAAGCTTGAATTTTTGTCTAATTGCAGCTCTCTTAAAAGCTACATAAGATGGAGGCTATATATATATTTTTTCTTTAGGGAAGTAAAGTCTTAAAGAAAGAAAATCTATTCTTTCACAGAGTAGCCTAATGATCCTGCAAGTTTAGCATATATCTATCTTCAAATGAAAGAAGCAAACTTGTCTTTTCCACATGGTGGGCTTTCCTGCACATTGTCAAGGAGATACATAGGTCTCCGTAGCAAAGGCATGTAATCTGCTGCCCTTCTGTCCAGGGAAGTGATGGGAAGCAGCTGCTATGGAACAAGATGCAATGTAGTTAGGAGGAATTGTGTGAGGCTGTGGCAAGCAGTTTAGTTACTGCCTCACACCAGAATGACTTCTAGCTATGATATTCCTACATTAATTATGACTTTTATTAATCACAAAGGATGTTCCAAAACTCAAGTTCAAATGTTACAAGGCCATAAAACAGCAACTTGCATAATCTTAGCTTGTCTATGATGTATATGTTCTGTTCTTTTATTATAATTTTTCTTTCCAGAGAAAAGTACACAAGATTTGGGCCTTAGGGCACCTGTTAGTGATATGAAGCTGTAATCAGTAACTTCCACCCCACAGTTTGAGAGCATGAAGTATCACAGGGTCCAAATGGCAACAGCTGTCTTATCTAGAGACTAGTCTTTTATTTGGTATTTTATTGACAAATAATAAAGCTAGTAATTGGACTGGGAGAGGAATATAGCCACCTAATTTAGAGGACCTGTAATTTTCTACTACTAAATGCCTGAAGCAGCTTTTTGTTTTTATTACCCCCTCATGACTGAAGCAGAGGAGCTGGCTGAATCCTTAAAATGGTTTCAAATGTGCATTTTTATCTTCATTATTTAAGAACATATTTGAAAAAATAGGCTTACTATGAAATATGATAGTGATTCCTTAAGAAAAAATAAGCAAACAGACAAAATAAACAACACTGTGGAATTGTGATTGTAAAATCAAGATGCATTTGTTCAGGATGCATTTATTCAAGTTGCATTTGTTCAGGTGCATTTGTTAAGGATGTATTTATTCAGGATGTAACTGTTTGGGATGCATCTGTTCCAGATGCATCTGTTCAGGATGCATTTGTTCAGGTTGCATTTGCTCAGGATGGATCTGTTAAGGATGCATTTATTCAGATTTCATTTGTTTGGGTGCTAGTTTGGAGATAAATCATATTATGGCCAAGGGTCATGATGGCAGGAGTAATCAGAGGTGTTCTTGTGTTGTGATAAGGGTGGAGATGCATTTGCTCAGGATGCATTTGTTTGGCAGGTCCCTGTCGCTAGCAAAGGCAAATTGGGCAGGGCCATGTGTGCTGGTAGAAAGGGTGAGCAGAAAATGACGACTACCTTCCAGCAACTGCCAGACACAGGCTTTCCACATTGAGAAAGTGGTTAAACGTGTATAATTCCTCATCTTTGGAACTTCTTCAACTTAGCAGTTTAAAAAGAAAGAGGAGAGAATAAAGAAAGAAAATAATGGCACTGGGCCCTTCATTTGCTTGTCTATTACGGAAGTAGATATTGTAAGTTCAGTGTTATAAGTTGTAAGTTCACTTTATCATCTTTCCAGTTAATATAATAATACAAGGAAGAAGATCATGGAGATTTGATTGCCCTCTGACAAGGATAAGGCATTTGGTGGCCTTATAGTTTCACTCAAGTAAGCTTTGTTAGTATGGAACATCCAGTGTATTGGCCAGCTAAATGAAATGTGTCATTATTTTTTCTGGGATAATTCTGGTGCTTTTTAAATGTACCCTTCCCACAGTAATCATTTACACAGTGTTTAATAATTATTATCCAGTAAGCTTTCTGAAAGTTTTTTTCTGAGTGGCAGAACCTCAGTCTTCAATGCCATACTACATGCCTCATAGGGATTTTGCTGACAATGAAGGTTGTAGATAAATAATGGATGAAGTGGGGTGACAGGGCCTGAGCACTTGGGCTTGACAGATTATCTTGTGATGTATTACAATTAGATATGCGTCAGTGTCACTTCATTTATTCAACTAGTAAGAGTACATAACTCTTTGAAAGTAGATTTATTAAGAGCTTTACTCATGTCTTTTCAAAATTTAGAATTGATTTTTGAGCATCTCTAACAGCTTTCTAAATCATCTATCCTTTACAGTTTTTAAGTTGAAATTTTATGAAAATCCCTACTAAACAGGTTCCATTTTTGGTTGTGTATTTTATTTGTGCTCAAGGCAGTTGCTAGATGACAGATCACCTTGTCATCAGCTGGTCGACAGACTGAATTGGCCTTTGGGAAGGGGGAATATAGGATTCGTAGTATGGGAATCATAGGTACTGGTGGATGGCAAGTAGCAGACATTGTAATAAAGATTGGTTATTTCCATTAGCAATTTTGTACACATGCATTTCAAGTAGGGATTGTCTTATTCTTTTTGAAGAAAGAGATGCCAGTGGGGAGAAAAAAATAAATCCTGGATGTTAACATGCATTTTCTCTGTTTCTAAATTATACAAATGTAGTTTTTCTAGCCCCCTAGGGTGAGTTACATAAATTAGCAGTGACCCACATGCCTAGGACCTAAAACTGCTGGGACAGTTGCACCTCATTTGAATTTTGCAAAGTCTTACATATTATCTAAGTTTCAGATTTTTTTCTCGAAAACTTAAATTTGTGTCAGGTTTTTCTGTTCTCTTAGAGTTCAGTAAAATGGGAAATAATAAAAGATATTGGGGATGGCTAAGAAGAGAAAAAATGCTATTCTTATATGTGAATGAAGCCCATAGTGATTTATTGCTATGGACCTAAAGTTTCTAGCAAATTGTTTTTCTAGCTTAGCCTCGATCATATTAAATCAAGTAATTGATTGTGCACATGAGCACATACATTGGTTCAGCTATTATAATGTGTGTTTTTTTTTAAATTGTATGTTCTATTTAAATAGATGTTTCTAAAATAACCCACATGATTGCAAAAGACTCCCAACCTCTCAGGCCAGAGTAAACCTCATCTTACAGGAATTCAATTCTTAATTTGATGACCCTCTCTTGTATAATTAATCATTATGAAATAAATTATTTTGATGCCCTTTGAATGTTTATTTTTAGCAAAAGAAAGGGTGTTGTGTTGACGGATAGCAAGTAGCTACAAAAGCAGAAGAAACCCAGAATTCTCAAGATTATCAACATATTCCCTTTCCCCTCTTTGAGCCCGAATCAGTCTCTCCAGGGGTCTGAATAAACAAACATGCTTGTCACTGTAGAACAACTTTTACATCCTTCAGATAAGGACTCAGCTCAGTTTAGGGTCAAATTATACTGGTAGCAAAGCTGATCAGAGCAAACAAGGTTTCAGAGGATTCACTCACTCTTGTAAAAGCTGATTATAATTGATGAATGACCAGCTTGCTAGACCCTGACAGACTGGTTGCCTGGCCTTTGCTCTCTGCCAGTTCAAGCCTTACAAGTGTGAAATAGCCAATTACTGAAATACCTATTGAAAGTAATAGGCCAATGAGCAAATTGCTACTGTGGGACATCGTGGCAGTGGAGATGGAAGGAGGCCAAGATAAATTTCTGCTCTGAGCAGCTGCTCCCACCACAGATTGCTAATACTATTGGATGACCAAGAGATGAGAGCAAGGTATTTTCCCATTCAAACTGCAAGTGTCCTGCCTTGTATTGACTTAAAGTTTATGGTGCATGATACCATCTTGTTACCCTGGTCCTAATTTGCAGAAATAAATCCTCCTTTTAAAAGGTAGTTAAATAAGTAATAAGGATAGTCACGGCCATAGATTTTGTGCAAAAGCATTAAATACAATTTTTGCAGGGAATGAAAAGTCATATAGTGTGCAGAGTGTTATTACTTGCCAGCCATTGGCTATTGACAGAACAATTTATCTTGATAAAGGACAGTGAAAAACTCCAATCTATTCACTGACATCACATTATCAGCAGTAATATATGACTGCATCTAAATATAAGGTTGAGCTCTGATACAGCTGAGAAGTTCCTGGTAATTTTCCTGTAAATATATTGTGTACTGGACAATGAACAAATGACACATTTACCATGTAATTGGATAACCTATTTTTATATGAAATTTAAAGTTTTACTGTGTTTAATGGAATATACCATAATGTTTCCTTTTGGGGTAACCTGTTTCTTTAGTAAGACTTCAGCAATAAAATGGGTATTAATGGGTTTGACAGAGAAAAAGGTTAGACAAAGAAAGGTAAATTCTAAAATTCTACATAAGGCAATAGATCCTCTCGGCATTTACTACCATAAGAAAATTGCCTTAATATTTACTATAAATTGTAATTACATTACAGTTATTATAATAGAATATATCTTTTTGTAAGATTAGGAAATTGCGAATTGCATTTTAATTGAAAATGTCTTTGCAAATTGCTCTAGCACAATTCTGAATTATTTGAAATGTGCCTGAGTGGGCTACAATGCAGTTGGGGGATGAGAGGGTGCTGGGGTGGTGATACAGAGCATGGATAGTCCTATGAGACTGGTAAAGGTGATTAGACCTACGGGGAGCTGTTTGAGCCCATTCCTCCCTAGACTAGGGGGCATGCAACTTCAGCTCCATGAGATTACAAGAGGCAAAAATATAGACACACAAATCCCCTGATGTGCAACACCTTTGTGCCTTACATTCCCTAGTACCTGTACTTACAAGGCCTGAAATAGGAATCAAGTCTATCATTGCTTAAGATCTGAAACTTGAGTTGAATGGTAGAAATGTTATGTTTCCAGCCAGGTGCAGTGGCTCACACCTGTAATCCCAGCACTTTGGGAGGCCGAGGTGGGTGGATCACATAAGGTCAGGATTTTGAGATCAGCCTGACTAATATGGTGAAACCTCGTCTCTACTAAAAATACAAAAATTAACCAGGCATGGTGGTGCTGCCTGGACTCCCAACTACTCAGGAGGCTGAGGCAGGAGAATTGCTTGAACCTGGGAGGCAGAGGTTGTAGTGAGTCGAGATCGTACCATTGCACTCCAGCCTGGGTGACAGAGCAAGACTCTGTCTCAAAATAAATAAATAAATAAAAAAGAAAGAAAGAAACATTATGTTTCCTAGCAAATCTGTGTAGAAGCCTACAGTGTCTCATCGGTGCACATTCTTTCTTTCTATTGGTCCTTCATGAACACTTTCACAAGATGAGAGCTTCTTGTTATTGCCATAAAATAGCTTGGTGGTAATTTGTGTGTTCCATTTGGATTATAGCTATGAAAAAATTCAAATAGTTTACTATTTTTAACATATTATTCTGCCTATTTTCAAGAAGATTTGAGGAATCTATGAATTAAATTAATTATAATATAAAATCTCATTATTTAGTTATTGAAAACAAAAACAAGGAAAAAAAATCCTGGCGCCATGTCCAAAAGGCAGAAGGATTCTTTGAGAGAAATGTCTTGAAATCATTGGCACTGAGTTTAACAATCTGGTTTTGTGACTGCTGAGAGAACAGATGAAACCCGTATGCACCATAGTACAGAGTAGGAAATACGATGTCCTCTTTTTGCAATACTTACCAAAACCACTTGAGTTACCTCCCTATCTAATTAGCAGGGCACTTGGCTTTCCTCTCCTTGTCTCTTCTTGGTCAAAAAGCCCAGTCCTACTTTTAAAATCAAAGTAGAGAAAGATGAAAAATAAGATCGTTCCTCACCATTTGCCTGCCTTTACTTCTGTCTGCCACAGGGTGCCACTGTTGAAAATAGGACCTGCACAATTTGTTGCCACTCTGTCCACAGCTGTGATTATGTCCTTGCTGGTCCAGATCTCTGTGCAGGACAGGATGTTTTCTCTAGAGAAGATAGTCCCACTCTGTTGAGCATTTCCAGTATTTTCTACTCTTGACTTTATGCTTCACTTTCAACCATTTCCCCCCAAGCACACCTAATAGTGCCAGAGAATAAATAGGAAGGTGCTTCAAACTCATGTACATGAGAGAGTCATATAGCTGTTCCTCATTGAGCTGTGAAAGGATGAGTATTTGGTGAGATTTAAAGGAATTATATACACGCACATACACACACACTTCAAACAGAAGCTGTCAGCCATTATTTTCCAAATAACTCTCAATCAAGACAACCCTGAGATTGAGCACAGAAGCCCCAGTCTAGTCTTCCCCGTTTTCTCACCTCTAAGTTTTTTGGGGTGGGGGCTTTTGGCATCTTTCTTGCCTGCAGATTTCAGTTGGCATTATCTCACTCCATGCAAAACATTATGATATTATTTGTTCTTTAAAGGAATGTTTAGATCTGTATCGCTTCCATTAAGGTGCTCCTGTATACATTAGCTCATCTCCTCCCAAGTGAAGAGCAGTCTGGGGAGCCAAGGGGATGGTGGTCAGTGGCTGCTCTCAATGAAAATGTAAAGCTCTGGCTGCACGTTTCTTATGGGTGCCTCCTAGGACAATGGAAGTATACTGTTTCATATTTACATAAGTAAGAGAGTTACCCAAGATCGAACCAATCTTGAAGGTAACTTTCCATTTTCACTTTAAATAAATCACTTTTAAACTTTTCTTGCTAAAAAGTACTGCCCAGATTGTACTCATTTCCTGTTATGAAAAACTTTTTCATAAAGATAATTATTTTTATGTGTCAAACTCAACTATTAAGTGCTCATATAAAAACAGTATTGAGTAATCTAATGACCCTATCTTTATTATAGCTTATTAAATGAATTTTATTGGGAAGGGAAGATAATGTTTCTAGGTACTATAAACAGCATCTCATTTTACCTGCACTACTTTTTTGTCTGTTTTCAGTTTCTCAGAATGGTATGATAAAATCTTACAGTACAATTGTGCATTTGCCAATTCTTCCTTGTAGTTCTCTTAATTTCTTTCTTTATGCCTTGTAAGAATATGTAGTCAAGTGGATATATGATCAATACGGTTACCTTTTCCTCTTGTACTGTTCATTTCATTTATAAGTAAAATTGTTCTTTGTTGCTAATAACCCTTTAAAACTATTTTGTTTGCACTTAACATTGTATCAATTCTCTTTTTAATTTTCATTTCATTAATATTTTGTCATTTCCTTTTCTGTCAAACTCCTTATGACATTAAGTCTTTAAGTGTGTACATTTTCAACATTAGATTTTAATTGTTTTTAATTGGATTCTAACTTATTTTAAATTTAATTTCAGAATCTCTGTCTTTACGCATTTATATCATTTTTAAATAAAGTATACATGTAAGTCATAGAATATATTTAATTCAAATTAAATACAAACCAGAATAATGTTTGCTCTTTATAAAGTAGCAGTTAAATTATTAAAAGGAATTATTGTCTGAACTTAACTATACATCTTTTTATTTTTTATTTGCCCTGTTCTAGCTTCCATTTCACCACCCCATCAATTCTTCTATACCAGATTAATCAAAATATTTTAATCCAGACCTATTCCCATGATTCAGATATTAAGCATCTCATTTTCATTACTTAGTAATTAGTCTTAAAACTTTTGTATGCATACTTGATCTACAATCTAGAATAAATATTTGTGTATTTCTCTCAAAGGACCTCAGGATATTTTAATTCTTATCCACCATTTTAAATTACACATTATTTCTATCTATTAATTTCCCCCTTGTTTAAAATGCCCCTAAACTAATTATAATTGATGTTTTTACAGTCAATGCTATTTGAAATCATCACCATGTTTACCAATTTGCACTTATTGTTGCTTCTTTTATCTCGATTCTATTCCTTCCTTCTAGAATCAATTTTCTTCTTAATGACTAAATATCATCAATTCTTTTCACCACGGTTACATGAGGCAACTTCTTGCATTTTGTTTTTCATACTGATAATTTATTTATCTGATCACTCTCCTATACAATAAATTAGCCAATAATAAAATTTGTAGTTGACAGTTATTTTCCCTTGGTCCTTTAAAAATATTTATCCGTTGTTTCTTATTTCTCACTTTGCTAATGAAAAGTCTTTTATCAGTCAAATAACTAATTCTGCCTTTTCTCTCTGTTGCTTAAGATTTTTCACTTTGTCTTTGATGTCTTACAGTTATACAGCACTATGTCTAGAGTGTGATTTCTTTTTGCTTATCTGCTCAGGGCTTGATATTTTTCTACAATGAGGAATCTTATGTTTATATAAATCTGGTAAACTCATAGCTGTTATCATTCTCCTGCATTTTCCCCGTTTTCTTCTTCTGGAACTTCTTTTAGGTTTATACTAGACATTTTTAAACCATGCATATCTTGGTCTTCATAATTACCTGCTTTTAATCACTCTGGATTGCCTTCTCTTTAATTTCCTCATATCTATCTTCCAGTGTATGCATTCCTCACTTTAGCTATTTCTAATGTACTCAAAAAAATTTCATTGACTGTTTATTTTTATTATTCTATTTTAAATATTCCCTTTTATTTTTTACGTTATTCTGCTTTTTTCTTATAATTCATGTTCAGTCATTTACTTCTCTGTTTTAATCATATTCTATACTCTTAGATTCCTCTATTATATGCACTTTCTGAAATTTTATTTTAGATGATTTTCAGTATCAACCGGCTCTCCATAAAGTAATTCATCTCTCCATGTATATTTACAGTTTTTTGGTGAGCTCTTATTTGATGATTTTTATATATAATTCTAGAGTACTATTATATATTACATATAAATATATATCCTATATATATTAACTATTATTCTAGATTGATTTTTTTAAGTTGGCATATTTATATCCCAGGACCAATCTTTCACTACTTTTTATGTTAAATTTTTGGTTTGAGATTCTATAACTATTATATTAATATAAGGTTGACTTCAAATTACAAACTGTATATGGCACTGGCTAGGAATTTTGATTTATCAGAAGAAATTTTACATTATTGTTTCATTGTTTTCCTCTCAGAATTCCAGGAAAATAGCAGGCTTCTTTCTGCTATTCTGAGTCAGTGATTGAATTTTTTCTGGTCTTTTTTCAGAAAGAAGACAGCCCTACAAATTTCTGGTTCATGTAAGATTTAAATCCAACTTCTTGTCTCATTTGAGACCAAGGCATTAAAATACTAGGTCCTAGATTCTGTAGCCAAACAAAAAAAGAAAGAAAAACTAAACAACAACAAATAAAAGAGTCTGTAACTGCCTGAGCTATCATGGCATCCGCTAGAGGGTTTAGCTTTTTTGGTTTTCGCTTTATTTTTGCCAAATGTTTATTTGTTTGTTTGGTTGATTTGGTTTGTTTTCTGAACTTGCTATGTACTTAAAAAAGTGTTTGCTTATACGCTATCCAGCATTTTAATGTATGTGTTGTGAGAAGTGAGGTGTCATTGATGTAGCCCACCATATTTCTAGGAGACCTCCTTTGTTTTATGCATGATGAATGTGAGATATGCCGTCAATGTTCACCCAGATTAACCTAGCTAATTTATGTCTGGCGAGGCAGCAGGTCATCCAAATCTGGCTTCAGTACACTTTCCCTAGTTTATTCCCTTTATTCCCTGCAAGTCTATACTCCTACTAGATGTCAGCCTCCTGAGGAATGTATTCACCTTTGTATTTCCACTTGCTAACTACAGTGTGGGACTTAGTATAAATTTTTATTGATAGTCTTTTAAAAAATTTTGCATAATTTTTCCCCTAAAGGAAAGATGTAAAGCTATGCCCTATAAGGGATTAAAGGGGGAAAAAAAAGAAAGATAAGATCCTTCAAGTGCTTCACATTGAGTACAGATGGTAAAATAACCAGAAAATTACAGTGTGGCCCAGCCTTGTAATTATAAAACCAGTTATATAAAATGTGATTATTATGCATTCATTTAGCAACTATTCAATGTATTTCTACTATATGGTGGATGTTATGCTAGACTTTGGTAATATAACATGAAAATGATAGTCTGGAAAAGCAAACTAGTCGGGTGGAAATGTAGATAATAATTAAATAAGCAATCACAAGACTGGGTGATAAATGTTGCTATGGGAATAAGAACACAGTTCAATGTCAAAGTGTGGGGCAGTTGTTATTAAAGGAATTTAAGTAAAACTTCTCAGAGGAACTTACATAAAATGGAAAACTGAAGGATGATAGGGATGAGCCAGATAGATGAAGAGTCAGGTATACCAGAGGTATAAACTTAGTTCACGTACAGGGAATAGCATTTTTAATGGTAATAAAGGCATTTGCATAACTATTCACATAGGTAGCTAAAATGTTGACTGAGGAGTTGGGGGTTGAGGAGGTGTGATCACACTTAAGTCTAGAGAAGAGGCTAAATCATGAAAGATCTTCTAAGCCATTTAAGACAGTTTAGACTTTATCCTGAAGGTGCTGGAGAAACATGACAGGGATTAGAGAAAGGTTATGATGGGATATTTTGATTTGGAAAGAAGTCTATACAGGATGAATTTAAAAAGCTTTTACCCACCACAGATATCAGGCGAAATTCAGCCCTGATATTTCACGTAGTTTGTCTTCTATTTTCCCTAAGTGTTGGCTGGTCTGAGAAATAAAGGGACAGAGTACAAAATAGAGAAATTTTAAAGCTGGGTGTCCGGGGGAGACATCACATGTCAGCAGGTTCCGTGATGCCCCCCAAGCTGCAAAACCAGCAAGTTTTTATTAGTGATTTTCAAAAGGTGAGGGAGTGTATGAATAGGGTGTGGGTCACAGAGATCACATGCTTCACAAGGTAATAGAATATCACAAGGCAAACGGAGGCAGGGCAAGATCACAGGACCACAGGACCGGGGTGAAATTAAAATTGCTAATGAAGTTTCAGGCACAGATTGTCATTGATAGCATCTTATCAAGAGACAGGGTTTGAGCGCAGACAGCCAGCCGGTCTGACCAAAATTATTGGGAATTTCCTCATCCTAATAAGCCTGGGAGCGCTACAGGAGACTGGGGCTTATTTCATCCCTACAGCTGTGACCATAAAAGACAGCCGCCCCTGAAGCAGCCATTTCAGAGGCCTACCCTCAGGGATGCATTCTCTTTCTCAGGGATGTTCCTCACTGAGAAAAAGAATTCAGCAATATTTTTCCCATTTGCTTTTGAAAGAAGAGAAATATGGCCCTCTTCTGCCTGGCTCACCAGCAGTCAGAGTTTAAGGTTCTCTCTTATTCCCTGAACATTGCTGTTATCCTGTTCTTTTTTCAAGATGCCCAGATTTCATATTGTTCAAACACACATGCTCTACAAACAATTTGTGCAGTTAATGCAGTCATCACAGGGTCCTGAGGTGACATACATCCTCCTCAGCTTATGAAGATGACGGGATTAAGAGACTAAAGTAAAGACTGGTGTAGGAAATCACAAGGGCATTGATTGGGGAAGTGATAAGTGTCCATGAAATCTTCACAGTTTATGTTCAGAGATTGCAGTAAAGACAGGCATAAGAAATTATAAAAGTATTAATTTGGGGAACTAATAAATGTCCATGAAATCTTCACAATTTATGTTCTTCTGCCATGGCTTTAGCTGGTCCCTCCGTTCGGGGTCCCTGACTTCCCACAACACACAGGTTCTTGGGCTCCCATGAAATAGAAATTCACATGAGGTCAAGCAAGTTCCCCAGACAGAGCATTATTAGGGACTTATGCTTGAACACAAGGGAGACAGCGCTGGAGCGAGAGCTCTTTGGCTACCTCCTTGAGGACAGGTCTTTGCAGTGTTTTAGGAAGAGTGATGTGAAAATGCCTGAGGTACATGAACAGTCATAACATGTGTGGGGTGGAGCTCAGGGTATGCAGGTACAGTGAGAAATCATGTTAGTACATACATGATGTGATCAAAAAATGGCAGATAAGCCCCTTCCTGGGAAGGGAGTTTAGTATTATAATGAAACATGGAGTAAAGGTAAGTCATTTTTCTGGTCTTGTGTGCATGTGGGCAATGCAGTCAGCAGGGATAGTGACAGTGCATGATCTGGTAATTGCTGGATATGGAGAAAAAATGTTAGTGGGGCTGGGGGCTAAATCCCAGTGAGGGCCAAGTCTTGTCCCACTCTGTCTCAGAACTCTACAGGGGAAGTGACCTCACATGCTCTTGCAATAGATCAGCAAGGGTTTCAGAGAAGAGCTTATTCTAAGCTAAAAGGATAGCAGTAGGTCTATAGAAAAGTGGGAATGTTCAACAGATATTTAGGAATTACACTTGAAAAAACTTGAAGATTGGTTGAAATTAAGCATGAATGGAGGGGATAAATTGAAGGCTGCCTCTGAGGTTTCCTTAGGGAAGTTGGCTACCATCTCTAGAGCTCAGGAGAAAGATCTGGCCTGAAAGTATCAGTTGGGAGGAAGGACATTGTAGTGGTTCTTAAAATATGTACACAAATTCTTTTATACTACTCTCTTAAAGAGGTGAAGTTGAAATTTAGTTCTTTTTCCCCTAAGAATGGGCTAGACCTAGTGACTTTCCCCTAACAAATAGAACAAGGCAGAAATAATGTTATACCTCTTCTGAGATTAGGTTATAAAAAGACATTTGTTTTCATTTTGTGCTCTCTCTCTTTCTCTCTCTCTCTCTTCAAGTCACTTGCTCTGGCAGAAGCTAGTGACCCTGTAGAACAGTTTCGTAGACAGGCCCATGTGGGAAAGAATGAAGGTCTCTAGCTAGCAGCTGATAGGAGCCGAGGCTGTAAACAGTAAATTCTCCAGTCTCAGTAAAACTTTGAGATGACTACAGCCTCAGTCTACAACTTGATTACAACCTCTGAGAAAACCCTCAATTCAGAACCACCCAGCTAAGCTGTTCTCAGACCCCTTACTCTCAGAAACTATACAAGATAGTGTGAATTGTTTTAACCTATCAAGTTTCAGGGTAGTGTGCTATTCAACGAGAGCCAATACATATATTCAACTTATGACAAGGATGAGCATATACAATTTTGTAAGTAGAATGGCATTTGAACTACAATTAGATGATAGATAGAATGAAATTTCAAGAGGAGGGGATCTTGAATAACATTATAATTTATTAAGAGCTCTTTATATCCAAAGCACTATTCTCAATGAATTGCATGTACTAACTCATTGAATATAGCAATCCTATAAGCTAGGTATTATTATCCCTCCTTTACAAATGAGGCAATTAAAACCCTGAGAAGTTAACAAACATTCTTTTTAAATATTCTGTTTCATTTTCAAGCTTTATTGAGGTATAATTGACAAAATTGTATAAAGTATACAATATAATGGTTTGATATACCTATATATTATGAAAGGATTACCACAATCAAGTTAGTTAAAAGATCTCTCACCTAACCTAGTTACCATTTTGTGTGTTTGTGTGTGTGTGTGTATTTGTGAGGTGACAACATTTAAGGTCTACTCTGTTGGCAAATTTCAAATGTAAAATACAGTATTGTTAACTTTAGTCAGCATGCTGTGCATTAGCTCCCCAGAGCTTCTGCTTATATTTTGTATCCTTTGAACTTCTCATTTCCCCCAAGCCCCATCCCCTGGCAACATCCATTCTACTCTTAATTTCTGAGTGATATTTTTCAATTCCACATATAAGCAGGATTATACATCATTTGTATTTCTCTGTGTGACTTATTTTACTTAGCATAATGCCTTCAAGTTTCATCCATTTCATCACAAATAGCAGGATTTCCTTATTTTTTTCCTTGGATATGGCTGAATACAATTTGTGTGTATGTATGTCTGTGTATATCTCACAATTTTTTAGTTTGTCTTGGCTATTGTGAATAATGTGAACTGAACATGGGAGTGCTGGTATCTTTTCAACATACTGATTTTGTTTCCTTCAGATTTATACCCAGAAGCAAGATTGATGGATCATATGGTAATTCTATTTTTAATTTTTTGAAAAGCTTCATACTGTTTTCCATAATGGTTGTACCAATTTTTATTCCCATCAACAATGCACAAGGGTTCCCTTTTCTCCACATCCTCATAAACATTTGTTATCTCTTGTTTTTTTTAGATAATAGCCATCCTAACAGGTGTGGGGTGAGAGTTCATTGTGGTTTTTATTTGTATTTTCTTTATGGTCACTTATATTGAATATATTTTCATGTATTTACTGGCCATCCATATGTCTTCTTTGGAAAAATATCAGTTCAAGCCCTTTGCCTGTTTCTTTAATTGGATTATTTGCTTTTATTCTATTGAGTTGTACGAGTTTCTAATATAGTTTTATTTTAACCATTTGTCAGGTATATGGTTTGAAAATATTCTCTACCATTCCATTGGTTGCTTTTTTATTTTGTTGATGTTTTTTTCGTTGTACAGAATCATTTTAGTTTGATATCGTCCACTTACTTACTTTTGCTTTTGTGGTTTGTGCTTTTAGTTTCATCTCCAAAAAGTCATTGCCAAGACCAGTGTCAAGGAGTTTTTCCCCTGTGTTTTCTTAAAGGAGTTTTGTGGTTTTATGATTTATATTTAAGTTTTAATTCTATTTTGAGTTAAATTTTGCGAGTTGTGTAAGATAGAGGTTCAATTTCATTCTTCTGCATGTGCATATTCAGTTTTTCCAACACCATTTGTTGAAGAGACTCTCCTTTCCCCATTGTGTATTCTTGGCACTTTTATCAAATACTAGTTGACTATATATGCCTGGGTTTATTTTTCAGCTCTTCTTTCTATTCCATTGGTCTATGCATCTGTTTTTATGCCAGTATCATACTGTTTTGATTACTACAGATTTGTAATACAGTTTGAAATCAGGAAGTGTGATGTCTCCAACTTTGTTGTTCTTTCTCAAGATTACTTCTACTATTAGGGGTCTTCTGTGGTTCCATATGATAGGATTTTTTTTCCATTTCTGTGAAAAATCTCATTAGGATTTTGATAAAGATTGCATTGAATCTATAGATAGCTTTGGTTAGTGTATGGCTATTTTTACAATATTAATTCTTTTGATCCATGAATAGAAGATATTTTTCCAATTGTTTATGTTGTCTTCAACGTCTTTCTTAAAAATTGTAGTTTTCTTGGGAGGCCAAGGCGGGCGGATCACAAGGTCAGGAGATCAAGACCTTCCTGGCTAACACGGTGAAACCCTATCTCTATTAAAAATACAAAAAAATTAGCCGGGCATGGCAGCATGCACCTGTAGTCCAGCTACTCGGGAGGCTGAAGCAGGAGAATGGTGTGAACCCAGGAGGCGGAGCTTGCAGCGAGCTGAGATCATGCCACTGCACTCCAGCCTGGTCAACAGAGTGAGACTCCACCTCAAAAAAAAAAAATTATAGTTTTCAGTGTACAGATTGTTCACCTCTTTGATTACATTTATTCCTAAGTATTATAGATTTGAGTCTATTGTAAATGGTATTTTCTTAATTTCTTTTTTAGAAAGTTCATTGTTAGTATACAGAACTCTATTACTTTTCTATGTTGTTTTGCATCTTGCAACTTTAATGAATTCATTTGTTAGTTCTCTCAGAGTTTTTTGGTGGAATCTTTAGGGTTTTCTACATATAAGATCATATTATATGCAAATAGAGATAATATAATTCTTCCTTTTCAATTTGGATGCCATGTATTTCTTCTTCTTGCTTGATGCTATCGCTAGAATTTCCAGTACTATATTGAATACAAGTGATGAGAGTGGGAATGCTTGTCACTTTCCTGATCTTAAAAGAATTCAGGTTTTCACTGCTGAAGATGATGTTAGCTGTGGACTTATCATCTATGACCATTATTATGTTGATGTACATTCATTCTATACCCAATTTGTTGAAGGTTTTTATCAAGAAAGAATGTGGAATTATGCTATATGCTTTTTGGGCATCTACTGAAATTATCATTACAGATTTTCATTCTTCTTCCTGTTAATACGATGGGTTGTATTTATTGACTTGTTTATGCTGAACCGTCCTTACATTCCAGGGATAAATCAAAGCTGATCATGGTGTACGAAACTTTTAATGTGCTATTGAACTCAATTTGCTGTATTTTGAGAATTTTTGCATCTGTTCATCAGAGATATTGGCTGGTAATTTTCTTTTCTTGTATTGTCTTTATCCAATTTTCATATCAGGGTAATAATGGGCTCATAAAATGAGTTTGGAAGTGCTCCTTCTGTCTTCAATTTTTTTTTTTTTTTTTTTGAGACAGAGTTTTGCTCTTATCACCTAGACTGGAGTACAATGGCATGATCTTGGCTCACTGCAACATCTGCCTCCCAGGTTCAAGCAATTCTCTTGCCTCAGCCTCCCAAGTAGCTGGGATTACAGGTGCATGCCACCATGCCCAGCTAGTTTTTCTATTTTTAGTAGAGATGGGGTTTCACCACGTTGGCCAAGCTGTTCTTGAACTCCTGACCTCAGGTGATCTGCCCACCTCAGCCTCCGAAAGTGCTGGGATTACAGGCGTGAGCCACAGCGCCCAGCCTCCCTCTTCAATTTTTTTGGAGAAGCTTAAGAAGAATTGGCATTAATTATTATTTAAATGTTTTGTAGAATTCATCAGCGAATACTGGGGATACTGGGACTCTCAGGGAATAAATTATTTGGCAAAGTTCACATGTGTAGTAATCTATAGTCTATCTGTTTTTCAAAGGTGCTATATGGTTTGGGCTTTTCTTTCTTGGGAGGCTGTTGATTACCAATTAAATTTCTTTATTCATCATTGTGCCTTTTTTTATGATTCAGTTTTCATAGGTTATATGTTTCCAGGAATTTATTCATTTTTTAGGTTGTCTAATTTGTTGATATATGTTCATGGTAGATTTTGATGATTCTTTGTATTTCTGTAATATCAGTTATATCTCCTCTTTCATTTATAATTGTATTTATTTGAGTCTTCTGTCTCTATTTTCTGTTTTTTTTTTTTTTGGTTGGTCTAGGTAAAGTTTCATCAATTTTGTTTAGCTTTTCAGAAAACCATCCCTTCATTTTGTTGACCTTTTCAATTGTTTTTCTATTCTCTATTTCATTTATTTAATAAATAATACTTTATTTTTTTTTATTCTGCCAAATGTGGGCTTTGGTTGTTCTTTTTCTAGTTTTGTAAGGTATAAAATTAGATTGCTTATTTTAGATCCTTCTGTTTTTCTTGTGGGCATTTATAGCTTTAAACTTTTCTTTTAGAACATTTTTGCTGCATTCCATAAATGTCATTTTTTCCATTTTTGTTCATATCACAATTTTTTATTTCTTTTGATTTTTTATTTAAATATCTCTTGTTTAGGAGTGTGTTGTTTAATATCCATATAGTTGAGAATTTTTCAATTTTCTTTTATTATTGATTTCCTATTTCATACCATTTTGGCCCAAAAAGTACTTGATTTTTTTTTTAGTCTTCTTGCAATTATTAAGAGATGTTTTGGGATCTAACATATGATCTTTCCTATGGAATATTTTATGTGTATTTGAGAAGAATGTGTATTTTGCTTCTGTTGGATGAAATGTTTTGTTTATATCTGTTAGGTAATTTGGTCTATAGTGTTGTTAAAAACCACTGTTTCCTTATTGATTTTCATGTGATTATCTATTCCTTGTTTCCTACTATTAAAATTTCCTACTATTATAAAATTGCTATTTATGTCTCCTTTCAGTTCTGTTAGCATTTGCTTGATATATTTACATGTTCCAATGCTGGATGCATACGTATTTCAATTGTTATATCTTTTTGATGAATTCACCTCTTTAATATTATATATTTACCTTCTTTGTCTCTTATGACCATTTATCACTTCCACTTTATCTTCTCCGATGTAAATTTAGTCACCCCTGCTCTCTTTTGATTTTCATTGCATGGAATATCTTTTTTTATTCCATCACTGTTAGACTATTTGTGTCCTTAAATCCAAAATGAGTCTTTTGTGGGCATCATGGTTCCTGGATTTTGTTTTTTAATCCATTTAGCCACTCTGTCTTTTGATTTGAGAATTTAATTCATTTACATTGAGAGTAATAGATAAGGCCTTGCTATTGCCATTTTGCTGATTGTTTTCTGACTGTCGTTAATTTCCTTGTTCCTTTCTTCTTCTTTTTTTGTCTTCTATTGTGACTTGATGACTTTTTTGTGGCAGCATACTTTGATTCCTTTCTGTTAAACCTTTCTTTATTTACTACAGATTTCCTTTATAGTTAATATATGGCTTAAATAAAATATTTTATAGTTATAACGTCCTACTTAAGCTATAAAAACTTAACTTTGATCATGTAGAAAACTCCATAGTTTTACTTATTTCCCCCTTTTCATTTTAAGTTGTTGCTGTTACAGCTTACATTTGTTTTATTGTGTGTCCAATAACAAATTATTATAATTATCGTTATTTTTAATACATTTGTTTTTTACCTTTTATACCAAAGTTGAAAGTGATTTATGTATCACCATTACAGTATTAAAGAATTCTAAATCTAACTCTATATTTACCTTATCTGGTGTTATATATTCATATGTTTTTACATTGTAATTAATGTTTTCATTTCAGCTTGAAGTAATCCATGTGGCATTTCTTGTAAGGCAATTCTAGTAGTGAGGAACTTCCTCAGTTTTTGTTCATTTAGAAAAGCCTTTATCTCTGTCTTCATGTCTATAGAATAGCTTTGCTATGTATAGTATGGTTGACTGGAAGATTTTTTTCTTTCAATATTTTAAACATATCACCCCACTGTCTGCTGAGGTTTCTGCTGAGAAATACTCTAATAGTCTAATTGAGGCTCCTTTCTATGTGATGTCACTTTTCTCTTGTGCTTTCAAAGTTCTCTCTTTGTCTTTCACTTTTGGCAATTTTATTACAATGTGTTTCAGTGTAAATAAACCTTTTTAGATTAAACCTATTTAGGACTATTTGGGTCTCATGAATCTGGATGTCCATTTCTCACCCCAAATTTGGAGAATTTCTTTAAATAGACTTTCTGCACTTTCTGCAACTTTCTCTCTCTCTCTTTCTCTCTCTCTCTCTCCCCTCTTATTTCCATAATATATAGTTTTGCTTGATGGTATGCCTTAAGTCTTGCAGATTTTCTTCACTCACTTCTTTTTGTTATTCTTTCTTTTTGCTATTCTTCCTGGATAATTTCAAACAACCTGTCTTCAAGTTCACTGACTCTTTATTCCACTTGAGTGTGCTATCATGGGTCTCTATTCAAAATTTCAGTTTAGTCATTGTGTTCTTCAGCTCTTAATTTTTTTCTCTCTATAGTTTAAAAATATTTATCTTTCTTTGTTGAACTTGCAGTTTTGTTCATTTATTGTTTTTCTAATTTTGCTTAATTTCCATGTTTTCTTGTAGTTCACTGAACTTCATTTAAAGGGTTTTTCTTGATTCTTTGTTAGTCAGTTCATACATCTCCATTTCTTTAGGGTCAGTTATTGTAGCTTTATTAATTTACTTAGTGGTATATTGTTTCCTTGATCCCTGCATTGGTATGCGTACATTTGAGGAAATGGCCACCTCTTCCAGCCCTTAGACATTTACTTTAACAGAGAAAGTCCTTCTCTAGTCAGTTCAACCTGTGCTTCTGGATGGGCCAGCTGGTAGCATTTACAGGCAGGTAGGGCTAACTGTCAAGATCTCTTATTTGGTAGGGCCACCGTCCATGCTCTCAGTTTAGGTTTGACCACTGGCTGACTCCATAGTCAGGCAGGGCTGCTGGATGAGCTCTGCATTCAGGCTTGGCTCCACAATCACCTTTGGTCAAATGGGGTCACAGTCTATACTCCCTGCCCATGTGGTGCTGCTAGTTGGACTCAGCAATTGGACTGAGCTTCAGAATGGGTTCCATTATCACGCCAAGCTAGCTGGGGCCCCAGGATGTGCTCCCCAGCCAAGTAGTGCTGCTGGCTTCTTGCTACATTTTCAGGAATGGGCTGCAGTCTGGGCTCTATGATTGGTCAGAGCGTCAGACTGTGCTCTACAATTGGGTGAGACCACAGGCTCTGCCCTGTGTTTGGGTATGGTCACTGACTAGTTTCCCTGCGCTGTGCATGTCCACTGGCTGACCAAGGTAACTGATTGCAAACTTAGGAAATTGAAGTTCATCAAGCTTTTCTGGAGTATAAGTTCTTTCATTCATCCCCTCATTGGTTGATTTATCAATCTTTATTAAAGGCAAGTTCATATTCTTGCCAGAATCTTGACTCTTAGGAATTACCTTGCAAAGTAGGCTTAGCCCTTATACAGAAGAGGGCCCTAGGACTCTCAGGGAATAAGTTACTTGGCAAAGTTTACATATGTACTAATCAGCAATCTCTCTGCCTTTTCCAAGATGCACCTTTTCCATTACACTATTTAGCAACTTTGTGGAAGGCTGGGTAAAGACATGGAGGGACTTAGGTGTAAATGCACTGATCTTTTTTCATTCATGTAATGTGTTTCTACAACTATTCTTTTAATTTATATCTCCATTTATAGCTGTATAGCACAAGAACGTGTTAAGAAAGGGCTACTACTAAAGAATACACAAAAGTACTTAGGTTATTTGCTAACAAATGCA
The DNA here is from genome assembly GCF_000001405.40 of Homo sapiens. Taxonomy (NCBI): domain Eukaryota; kingdom Metazoa; phylum Chordata; class Mammalia; order Primates; family Hominidae; genus Homo; species Homo sapiens. The sequence goes on from NC_000012.12 coordinate 41,382,878, forward strand.
TTATACTGATATAGAATAAAGCTGGTCTTTTTTTGCCAGTTTTCATTTTGCAGACAAAAATAAAATGATTCATAACCTTTTCATATGTTTTTTTCTCTTTGGGATTTTCCCTAGAAAGGTAGTAAATGAACACAATGTATTTATTTAAGTGCAACATAAGTGAATTCCATTTTTATGATATTATGATTTTGTAATGCATTGAGCCTCAGATATGACTGTTCAACACCTGATTATGCTTCTAGGTCCTCAGTTGTGTGAGGCCAGTGAAATAGGACCTTCTGTGCCTTTTTGCTCTTTAGAGCACTGAATGAGGACTTTGGCACCTAATTTGGAATTTTGGAGCACACTATTTCATCAGTTTTTGCCATGTAGATGCTCCAGAAATTTGCCTCCCTTCTGCCAGGGAAATGACTCCAGCAAAGCTGTTCTGTGGAGGCACTCTGAGAGAAAGAAGGCAGAAAATCCGAAAAGAAATATGAAAAGCAATGTAATGTGCTGAGCATTTTAAAGTTGTCAATAGAAATAAATACTTTCATATATTTATGGTAAAAGCACCAACTTAAATAAAAATGTATGTTTTAGAATACATTCATAAGCACCAAGTCATACTGAGTTTTCATGATTAGCAAAGATAAATGTTTCAAAGAACTTCAGAGCCCAGAAGGATCTGAGTAAACTCCTTCTCCTGCAGAATCAGTTAGAAAACCCCTCCTTTGTATGGCTTTCTCCTTTAACATGGATTCATAACTCTGTTATTAATGTTTGCTATTACTTTGTATGTTTGTATTGTAATACTTACTATACCATATTATAGATAAATGTTTCCCCATAAGTTTTAATTTTGTCAAAACATAATGAGATATTTGTAGCTGATTTACATTAGTGCAAGTTTTAGAAGACTAATGCAGACACCAGAATGTTACTTTATTTATCAAAAAGTATTGAGGATATATGGGAAAACCTTTTCATGGAATAGAGTAGTCAATTTCTTGTCTTCAAACTACCTCCTTGGAGGCTCCTGTAATAATCAGTTCATCATGATACAGGAGGAATGAGAATTTTAACATGGTAATATCAGTTTCACTATGGAGATTTTTTTTTTTTTTTTTTTTTTTTTTTTTTTTTTTTTTTTTTTTTTTTTTTGAGACGGAATCTCTGTCTGTCGCCCAGGCTGGAGTGCAGTGGCGCGATCTCAGCTCACTGCAACCTTCGCCTCCCGGGTTCAAGCGATTCTATAGAGACTAAGCTTTTCTGACTTTTTTTGAGACAGGGCCTCACTCCCATCACCTAGGCTGCTAATTCATTTATTAAATAACAACAAAAAGTCATTTGAATAATGTTTTTGCAAAAGGTAATCAGTTTATAAATCTTTTTCCATTCACTCTGGAGACTTTTTTAAAGGCTATTTCTTCCAGGTACAGAAAAACATGGTAGACATCTGTACCACTCACAGTATAAACAATGCTAGTAATATCCTCCTTACTCAGTGTTTTTCTTCCCTTTAACAACACTAGATTTAACACAGACAGAAACTTTATTTTACGGGTTTCCTGTTTTTTGACTCAATATAGATCAAATTAATACTGTCTTCAAAGAGAATTCAGTAGTGCTGGATTATTTTAAGTTGTTACAATCAGTTACTTTTCCAATAGAGTAGAATTGATCTTGGAGAGACCCAGATGTCCTCCGCTCTTGGAATGGGTTACTTCCTAGGACAGCACATCCTAGCTACTGTGAGTATACTATAACTGTTGACTCTCTCTTATTTCTTGGCTTGTGAGGCCCTTTTCTTAGCTCTCAAAAGGTTGTATAGTGTAAGGCAAAAAGGACAGGCTCTGCCAAAGTCATCATATGTTGACTGGAATCATGCATCTCCTATTAACTCAACTGTGTGCCCTGGGTGAGACTCAATTTCACCCAGGAAAAGGGAAATAATAATACTAGAAGTAACAGCAATGCCCAACTCCAGGGGCTTTAAGATTAAAGGTGGTGTATGCTAAACACTTGGAATCCTGCCTGGTACTTGGCAGGAATTCAGTAAGTGAAGGCTTTCCTCTTACTACTGCTTACAGATAAGATACACCTGATTGCATTAGAAAGTACAATGATGAATCCTACATTCTCAATTTACTCATTCATTCAATAACCACTTAGCACCTACTTGATGCCAACTATGATTTACAACACTGATCCCCTGCAGCATTTAAAAAATGGAAAATATTTCTAGTGGGGAGAGACAGACCATGAACAAAATGTGTAAGGAAATAATACTGTATAGTAGAATATGATAAGTACCTTAAAGAAAAACAAAGCAAGCTTCAGGTGATAGGAAATTCTGGGGAGGAGTTGCACAATTAAAAAGGAAGATCAGAAAAACAAGGCAACACTTGAGCCAAAGAATGAAGGAGGCAATGGACATGGCCTTGCAAATGTCACAGGGGAAAGGCATTCCAGACAGAAGGAACAGCCAAAGCGAAGTAAAATGGACATGCTATTAGCCTATTTGAAGGCCAATGTTCTAGAACAGAATGAACAAGGAAAACACAGCAGAAAGTAAGGTTGAAGAAAAGGGAAGATTCAAATAAACATCATCAGAAACAACAAAGGGGATATTACCACTGGCCCCACAGAAATATAAACAACCATCAGGGAATATTATAAATGCCTCTATGCATATAAACTAGAAAATATAGAATAAATTAGTAAATTCCTGGGCACATACACCCTTCCAAGACTGAACAAGGAAGAAACTGAATCGCTGAAGAGAGCAACAATGAGCTCTGAAATTTAGTTAGTAATAAGTAGCCCACCAACCAAAAAAAGCCCAGGACCAGATGGATTCATAGCTGAATTCTACCAGATGTACAAAGAAGAGTTGGTACCATCCCTGCTATTCCAAAAAGTTGAGGAGGAAGGACTCCTCCCTAACTCATTCTATGAGGCTAGCATCATCCTGATACCAAAACCTGGCAGAGGTACAACAAAAAAAGAAAACTTCAGGCCAATAACCTCGATGAACATACATACAAAAATCCTCAACAAAATACTGGCCAACCAAATCGAGCTGCACACCAAAAAGCTCATCTACCACAATCAAGTAGGCTTTATCCCAGGGATGCAAGGTTTATTCAACATACACAAATCAGTAAATGTGATTCCTCACATAAACAGAACTAAAGACAAAAACTGCATGATTGCCTCAATAGGTGCAGAAAAGTCTTCGATAAAATTCAGTATCTATTCATGTTAGAAATTCTCAATAAACTAGTTATTCAGGAAATATACCTCAAAATAATAAGAGCCATCTATGACAAACCCAAACCAACATCATACTGAATGGGCAAAAGCAGGAAGCATTCCCCTTGAAAACCAACACAAGACAAAGATATTCTCTCTCACTACTTCTGCTCAACATAGTACTGGAAGTCCTGGCTAGGGCAATCAGGCAAGAGAAAGAAATAAATTGCATTCAAATACGAAGAGAAGAAGTCAAACTTTGGCAAAAATTGAATAAAATACCTAGGAATACAGATAACTAGGGAGGTGAAAGATCTCTACAATGAGAACTACAAACCACTGCTCAAAGAAATCAGAGATGACACAAACAAATTGAAAAACATTCCATGCTCATGGATAGGAAGAATCAATATTGTTATAACGGCCACACTTCCCAAAGCAATTTATAAGTTCAATGCTATACCTATTAAACTACCATTTGCATTCTTTATAGAACTAGGAAAAACTATTTTAAAATACATATGGAATCAAAAAAGAGCCTGAATAACCAAGGGCAATCCTAAGCAAAAAGAACAAAGCTGGAGGCATCACAGTACCCAACTTGAAACTATACCACAGGGATACAGTAACCAAAACAGGGTGGTACTGGAACAAAAAGTGACACATAGACCAATGGAACAAAATAGAAAACCCAGAAGTAAGACTGCACACCTACAACTATCTGATCTTCATCAAACCTAACAAAAACAAGCAATGGGGAAAGGATTCCCTATTCAATAAATGATGCTGGGATAACTGGTTAGCCATATGCAGAAGATTGAAACTGGACCCCTTCTGTACAACACTTACAAAAATTAACTCAAGACAGATTAAACACTTAAATTTAAAATCCCAAGCTAAATCCTGGAAGACCACCTAGGCAATATCATTCAGACATAGGCACGAGCAATGATTTTATGATGAAGACACCAAAAACAATGGCAATAAAATCAAAAATTCACAAATAGGATCTAATTAAACTAAAGAGCTTCTGCACAGCAAAATGAACTATCAACAGAGTACATAACCTAAAGAATGGGAGAATATTTTTTCAAACTATTCCTCTAACAAAGGCTTACTGTCCAGCATCTATAAGGAACTTAAACAAATTTACAAGAAACAAACAACCCCATTAAAAAAAGTGCATAGGCCGGGTGCAGTGGCTGATGCCTGTAATCCAAGCACTTTGGGAGACTGAGGCGGGTGGATTGCCTAAGCTCAGGAGTTTGCAACCAGCCTTGGCAAAATGGTGAAACCTCATCTGTACTAACATACAAAAAAATTAGCCAGGGGTGGCAGCGTGTGCCTGTAGTCCCAGCTACTTGAGAGGCTGAGGCAGGAGTATAGCTTGAACGCTGAACCCAGAAGGTGAAGATTGCAGGAAGCCGAGATCGCACCACTGCACTCCAGCCTGGGTGACAGAGCAAGACTCCAACAACAACAACAACAAAAAAATGGGCATAGGCCATGAACAGACACTTTTCAAAGGAAGACATACAGCGGCCAACAATCATATGAAAAAAAGCACAACATCACTGATCATTAGAGAAATGCAAATCAAAACCACAATGAGCTACCATCTCACACCAGTCAGAATGGCTATCATTAAAAAGTCAAAAAATAACAGATGCTGGTGAGGTTGTGGAGAAAAAGGAACACTTATACACTGACGGTGTTGGAGTAAATTAGTTAAATCATTGTGGAAGACAGTGTGATGGTTCCTCAAGACCTAAAGACAGAAATACCATTTGACCCAGCAATCCCATTACTGGATATATTCCCAAAGGAGTATAACTCACTCTATTATATAGATGCATGCATATGTTCCTTGCAACACTATCCACAATAGCAAATACATGGAACAAACTTAATTGCCTATCCATGTTAGACTGGATAAAGAAAATGTGGCACATATACACCATGGAATATTATGCAGTCATAAAAGAATGAGATAATGTCCTTTGCAGGGATATGGGTGGAGCTAGAGGACATTACCATTAGCAAACTAACACAAGAACAGAAAACCAAATACCACATGTAATGATGAGACCACATGGATCAATAGAGGGAACAACACACGCTGGGGCCTATTAGAGCATGGAGGGTGGTTGGAAGGAGAGGGTCAGGAAAAATAACTAATGGATACTAGGCTTAATACTTGGGTGATAAAATAATCTTACAAGTTTACCTATGTAACAAACTACACATGTACCTCTGAGCTTAAAATAAAAGATTAAAAAAAAAAAAGGAAAGTTGGAGGAATCGCAAGAGCCAAATTTTGAAGCATTTTGTAGGCCACTGTCAAGACTTTGGCTTTTACTGTAATTGAAATGTAAGCTACTGGAGGATTTTGAGCAAATCTCTTGTGATATCTGCTTTACCTTTTTCTAATTTGATTGCTGTTTTGAGAATAGACTGTAAGGAACCAAAAGTGGAAGCAAGCATACATTTCAGAAACTATTGGAGTAGTATAGGTGAGAAACTGTCAAGTGGTAAAGAATGGAGATGGTGAGAAATGTTCAGAAACAGCATAATTTGGAAGACAGATTCAGGATTGGATTTTGTGTAGGAGAGAGAAAAAAAGTCAAGAGTGTCTATAAAGTTTTTGATTAAAGCAATTAAAAGGATGGAGCTTCCATTCACTGAGTTTATGTATCTTTGGCAGTTACCTTCAAATATTAGGTATCTTTTTTGTGTATTCATCTTATTTTTAAAGCTATCATGAGTTTTTAAGAGTAAGGACAGTGTACTATGTCTTCTTCATGTATACTCATGGTACTTTTCTCTCTGGATGGTAATAAGCAAATATCAATGACTAACTGATTGGCTTGTCAGTGACACTGATGAAACTTGTCATAAAGTTGGCTGTGATGGCTGAGATAATTTCACATGTCATAGGCAGAGATGGTTATGGTTGGATAGTTAAATGTCTCTGCAGGTACTTAAGATTATATGAAAAAGTAGGAGAAAATAAATGTTAGTTCAAACTAAGAATTTTGACTCCTTTTAAAATGCTTAGATCTAAAATGGAGTGTACTCGAAAGGCCCATGATAAGATATAAAAAATACTGTAAATGAGAATATTAATATGTTCCTAAGTGAAGCAACATCTAATTATAGTTAGTAAATTTAAATTAATATTTAAAATGCTAAAAACACATCCTGTTTTATCACCAAAATCCTTTAAAGGCATTCTCTAGGCTTTTAAATGAAGCCCAAATTTGTAACAAAAGATGATCTGCAAATGTAAGCAAGTAGAGCATGCCATTCCAGAATTTATAAATGAAAGGGAATTTAGAAAGTAGCTAGTTAATGGCTAAGGGAGATTTAAATCCATATTTACTTGTTCCTGGACCAGTCATCTACTATACCATGTTTATCTTGACTTTAGTCTGTCTTAATTTTCATGAGATTTAGAGATTATCTAGTGCAATCTACTCTGCAATCTGTCACTCCCTCAGCAATGTAGATGTAATATTAGAAATGAAGTGATTTGAATGTCTACTGAGATACTTGACAATCTCTGTAGCATCATGTGGCCCCAGGTTTCCATACACTATTCCCTGTTTATGGACTATGACTTGTCAATTCTTAACCCTCCAGCTCTCCTTTGCTATTGCCCTTCGTGCTGGGCACAAAGAGGTCAAATGGAAGTTGGACTCACCTGGAAGAGTGATCAGACATTTCCACTTGTGGGTTCTGCTGGATTTTACCACCTTCTGCAAAACACTGAGTGTAGTCATGACATTCACCATTACATTCAGAGTACAAATAATCCAGTCTTAAGCACTTTGGGATTTCAGTAGCCTCTTAGGTAATGTCGAAAAGGACAGATTATTCTTAAAATAAGATAAATTAATGGCTAAAAGCCAATAATTCAACAATTGGCATGTCAGTTGCAAAGTAAGGGTGGTAAATCTTGGGTAGGTGCCTGAGATTAAAACCCTTTTTACAGTTGAGGGCCGTGATAATTTCAATAACATTAATTTACAATTGACAAATTGTGTACTCTTAACACTGATAATCTAGCCATTTATTAGACTTTAAGAGCAGGAGTAATTAAGTATTACTGCCCAGAAGAGTTGCTAGGGTGTTATTTATAAACACAATGAGTATAAAAAACAACTTTTTATGTTCAAATGAATATTAATTGTTTCTTCATTAAATGCAGCCTGAGATATTTGCGTTAATGTTTTTGCTATACCATTTTATTTCCGAAGTTGATTGGGCTGCTCATTTGTCATTGTTGTTCTATTTTGTTTTGCTCCCCACCCCTAACCAACCCATATGAACTTCTAAGGGGTGAGAACAAACTAGAGGGTATTTTCTGAAAGAAAGAATTTTGCCCCATACTCTCTAAGTAAAATACTATTTTCACCTGGTAGTCTGGGGTTTGAGAACTCCTAAGCAAAAAAAAAAAAAAAGTAAAAGCTTTTTTTATATTTCTAACTTGATGATTTCTGGGGTTTAGATCATACATGTCCTTCTAATTGGGCTAAATAACATATTATCCCATCAATATTCAACGCAGTCTTAAATTCCAGTGTGTTGTTGGTAAGAATAATGTAACAGTGGTCTGCAGGAGGTAAGATTTTGCAAGCTCCTGTGGTGCAAGCAATTTCAAAAGCAAGTAAAACCAAATAACTAATGCAAACAACTTGGTAATAATATTTATTGTCATTTATTTTAAAACAAAGAAGGAAGATACTATGAATAGTTTTATTTTTTCTAATGCTAAGCGTTAAGTCCTAGATGTAGGAAGAAAATATGATTCTATCATGAACAATAAAACAAACTGTGCAAATTCTGGACTACAACTAGAATAATGGTATCTCCCCACTATCAGCCTATGGCTGGACATGCAATTTCAAATGTTCCCGGAGTATTACAACTTTCTTCCCCTCAGAAAGTCCCAAGACTTGGTTTCTTGTTAAAATTCCATACCTGCATGCTTTATATTTCTTATGCTTCACCTGTTATGTCACCCTCACTCTTGATAGAAACTTATTTGGATAATGTCTGGAAGCAAAGAGTGCCCCCCTGAAGAAGGTTAGGGATGGAGGCACTCTGTCAATACCTGACAGGTGTAAATTTTTTAATGTATGAGTAGTATATGAAAATACAAATCACCCCAGAGAGCCAGCCTAAAGCAGACTGAAAAGCTGTCATAAGCAATTTTCAAAAAGCATGAGTTATTTGATTCCCTTCCAGGGAGGAACAACTCCATAGGCATAAATTTATGAATGGTACTTGACAATCTTAACAAGTCCTGCTCTCTCCAAGCTCACCGTATAACCAACACATGACAAGGTGGACTTTCTGGTCACCCAGAATCTGTGGCCAAGAGAGAATTGACATGATAACTGAGAAGAGCTTGAGCCACCTTACTTACTGAGGCTCGTGTCAAGGAACAGATTAAATAATCTCACAATCAGGAACATTTTGAAATGATTATTTTTGGACCCACTTCTAACCGACCAATTTCTTGGATGTCATAATATGAGGGAAAATGGAGTCTTTGAGATGTACTCCTCCCCCAATCACTAGTTTATATCCTTTAGCACTGTAAATTTCTTTTTTCCTTTTTGGCCCCAGGTTCATTGAAAAATCTTTACTAACTGAATAGCCTTCTCTCTGGTGTGAGAAAGCTGACTTTAGCGAAGAAGTGCATGATTGGTGAGTCAGTTCTAATTGAATAAGTGTCATAGTCAAAAATCAACAAGTGATGAAGACGAGGAAGCCCTGGAGTGGTGTTTGTTTCAAATCCTATTAAATCTTTCTTAGTAGCACAGGACTTTAAGGAGAATATGTAAAATTGAAAAAGACAAGAGGTTACAGGATAGCTTTATGCTATAGATGTTATATTCACTAAAATGGAGAAACTTGTTTTTTGTAGTTCTTAACAAAATTAGGTCACATAAAATGTACTGATATCAGAATTCTTGTGAATTCAACACTTAGAGGTGAATTAAAGTATGAATCTGTCCTAAAGGCTTTGCTGTGATAGAAGAATAAAATAAAGGCTTTGGTTCCTGCTATTCAAGATTCCCCAATGGCTTCCACTGGTGTTCCTCTAGGACAATGATTCTTATGTTTCTTTGATCATGACCCCAGAGAAAGAAGAACTTATTCACTGGGACTCAGTGTACATACAAACACACACACACATCAGAAATAAATATTATTTTTAAAAGACCTACTCCTATCTCATGTGATTCACTTCAATACTTTCTATTCTATAATATATATGTATATTATATTCTGTTTCAATATTTCATTTAAAAGTCTGGCTGTATTTCACTAACTTGATGTCTTAGCTTGCCAATGGTTCACAACTGCTGATTGCAATGCATTGCACTAGAAGGCTCCATATTACCAGAGTATGATATGTGTATTCTTTTCAGTGGACTTGTGTTCACACCATTATTCCTTTCAGAATGTCCTCCCCTTACTTACATCCTAGTTATGCCAGAAGTTATTAATAAAGTGAGCTATCACCTATTGAATCCTATTGGAAATAGTTGGTATTATTTTATATTTGGGGTATGTAGGAGCACTGCAAACCTCTTCTTCACCAGCCGTCTCTTCCATCAAGATTCCTAATGAAACTACATGTACAGTAGAAAATGGCTGCCAAGAAACATTTTATTATTAGCTGTCTTTTGAACACCAAACCACAAGGCAAAGTAGCCCAGATAGTGGAGGAAAATATTCTAAGTTTATAATTAGCCTTGAGACAAGAATCAAAGCAATGCTCTTAGCCACTGCATTCTACTACCATATGCTATATTTATTTATTCAAATGTGTTATTCATTCAGGAAGATTTATTGGGTACCTGTTGTGCCCCAGGCATTATGGGTTAAGCATGATAACACTGTATAAGTGTTCTCACTATCACCAGTGCCTATGGAATGAAAAGATTTTCTATTCCACTAAATTCTTCAATTCCTTTCTTTGTTTCCTTCATTGAGTGCTGATTTCAATTTATAGGATTTACTATGCAGTGAGTATTTAGAAGTAGTACTTTTTCCTCTTTTTAAATCATGCAGTAGTTTTATATACACTTAGCACAAGCATTTGTTATATAACAATAATTTTCCTTTTCATCACTATAATTAGTCTGAGGCTAATAAATATTTGCTGGGTAAATGCACGAACATATTAGATTTATTTAAAAGGTTTGCATTGTTGCCGTGGCTGTGTGTAGCTGCTGTGCAACCCAATTAGTTGTAGCAAGTACATATTTAAAAAACTGAATGGTAGGATGCTGATGCCTCACTCATATATATATGGCTTTGTATGACTTCTTAGGGTCTTATGAGCTCAGGAAAGATCTAGAAACCCTTCTAAAATAAAAAAAAAAAATGTAGCTTTTCTTATTATGCATTGCTGTGTAAAGAATGCTTTTCCTAGAATTAAAATGGTAACTGTTCTAGATATCTATTATTGTATAACAGGTTCTCAACAACAATTTAAAACAACAACTATTTTATTATGTCTCATGATTTTGTGGGCTAAGAATTTATGCAAGGCTTGCAGAGTGATTATTTTCTCTATGTAGGGCTGACTGAGATTACTTAATGATATTTGGTTGGAAGGTGAGCTAATCTGGAGGACCCAAGACCACTTCACTGCCATGCTTGGTGCCTTAGCAGGAGGCACATGCCTGGGACCTTGTCGGGATGGTTGTGCAGCTGGGCTCAACTGGAACTGATAACCAGAACACCTGGTTGTTAGGTAGGCAGGTACAGGTAGCGTCTCTGCAATGACAATTATAGAGTAGAGGAATATCTTACATGGCAGATCAGAACATGTCTTAGTCAATTTGAGCCACTATATAGCAAAATATCTTAGATTGAATGCCTTATAAATGGAAATGTATTTCTCTTGTTCAGAGGCTAGATGTCTGAGATCAGAGTGCAAACATGATCAGATTAAGTGAGGGCCTTGTTCTGGGTTGCAGACAGCTGTCTTCTCATTGCATCCTCACATGGTGGAAATATGGTGAGAGGGCTCTCTGGGGTTCCTATTATAAGGGCCCTAATCCCATTCATCAGGGATTCTCCATCATGACCTAATTATCTACCAAAGCCCTGACTTCCCATCCAATCTCAATGGGGGTTAGGATTTCAGTATATGAATCTTGGGAGGATACTTATATTCGGTCTATTGCAGGACACTCCCAAAGATGCTATTCCAAGAGTGACAGCCTTCTAAGAGATACAGGTAAAATCTGTAAGGCTTTGTATGATAGCAGAATCTACAAAATATACCTTCTAATTACAGTGCATTAAGTTTCAATTATTGCATAACAAATTGCTCCAAAAGGTAGCAGCTTAAAACACAAACATTGTTATCTCATGTTTCTGTGGGTCAGGAATCCAGCAACATCTTAGCTGGCTCGGGGTCACTCATGAGATTGACCAAGCTATTGGCCAAGGCTGCAATCGCATCTGAAGATTCTACTGGGGAGATTTTGCTTCCACAGTCACTCATGTGGTTGTTAGAGGTCTTAGTTCCTCACTAACTGTTGACCAGAGACTTCAGTTCCTTGCCATGCATGCACCATCATAGATTTTCTGAGTGTACTCATAACATGGAAGCTGGCTTCTCTTAGAGTAAATGAGAGAGAGAGAGAGAGAGTGAGTGAATGAGAAATGAGAGAGAGAGAGAAAGAGAGGGCGAGAGAGAGAGAGAGCCAAACCAGAAGCCACAGTCTTTTTATAACCTAATTTGAGAGTGGCACACCATCGCTTCTGCTATTTTTTTATTCATTAGAAGTGAATGTCCATACTACAAGCAAGAAAAGGCAAATTAAGCTCTACCTCTTGAAGGAAAAAGTATGAAATAATTTTTTAAACCACTGCAGTTCACTTTCTTATCACAAATTATTTATATTGCTCCCACTATGCTAAATACACCCACCCCTGTCCAGGCTCCCAAAAGTCTCATTTCATTATAGTATCAACTCTAAATCCAGAACTTCATCATCCATATCAAGTCTAGGTGTGGATGAGTCTCTTCTGCTATAGATCCTTAAATACATCCTCTTGAGTATAGCCCCTCTTAATATGTAAACCTGTGAAACTAAAAAAGCAAAGTATCTGCTCCCCACACTCCCCAAATACAACAGTATGACAGGTATATTGTAATTGATATAGACATTCCTGTTTAAAAATGGGAGAAATGGGAGACATAAAGGAGTCACTGGTCCATAGCAATTCTGAAATTATTTGATTGGGTCTCAGAGTCTGGGAATGATTTTTTCATGGACCTTGGCTTCATCTTCTGGGCTTGAAATCAACCTCTGTTTTTCATGAAAGTTTGCACATGTTTACCGCTGAGTCATTTTCTTTGCTGCTTCCAGTGAGTTGAATTTTGGAAGTCCAAAAGTCATATTTCATTTTGTGTTATCTTTGCTTTTTTCAGTATAAGCTAATAATGTGTATACATTTATAATTCTTTTAAAATTTGGGTCTTTAGTGACTTATTGGTATCCACTCCATTTTACAAAAGTCACACTCAAAACTATCTTCAAAGTATACCTATCTTTACCTTAGGCTTCAGCTGAGGAACAACACTTTAAATTTTTCTAGAAGTTTTATTGTTTATTTGGAAGACTGGACACACATTGATTTCATTAGAAGCCTTTTGTTTAGCTGAATAGTATATTAGGACACTACCTTAGATTTTTCTGAGATCTTAATTAAAAATTTTATAGGAATGCCCTTTACTTTATCTTTGAACCAAGTTTTCTTGGTAGTACCCTATGTTTAATATTTTCTCAGAAGGCATTTTTTTAATTTTTTCATCATGTACCCCACAAAAAGAGTAAGAATTTTCAAAACCATCAACTTTCACCTCTGTTTGTTTACCAGTCATTCCTCCAGTTCATCTTTATTCTGCTGCATTTTACTATAAACAGCAAAAAGAACCCAGAAAGCGACTTTGATGATTTGCTTGGAAATGACCTTAATTAGGTCATCACATTTTACTAGCCAATTTATTAATTTTCATGTTACTGCAGGTAAAGGGGCTGTGAACGTTTTCTGCCACTTCATAATAAGGATTATTTTTCCTCTAGTTTCCAATGATATTTACCTTACTTCCCTGAAAATTCTCCTCTGCAGTCCTATCAAAGACCATAAGACAGTTTCTTCAAGGCATGCTGGCCGCTTACTAACACTCTCCCAAAAGTCCACTGCCTGATTCAAAAGCTACTACTGCATTTTAGCGTTTGCTATTGTTGTTGTTGTTGTTGTTGTTGTTATTGTTATGGCAGCACACAATTTCCGGATATCAAAATCAGTATTGGTCTTTCTATTATTGTGTAGCAAATTACCCAAAATTGTAGCAGCTAAAAACAAACATTATTAGCTCACAATTTATGTGAGTCAAGAATTCAGGAGCAACAAAACTGGCTGTTTCAGGCTCAACGTCTCTTGTGAGGTTTTGATCAAGGCGTTGGCTGGGGCTGCAGTGTCATCAGAAAGCTGAACTGAGGGAAGATCCACTTCCAAGATCCACTTCCAATCACATTTGTGATTAAACTACATAGTTCTTTATATCCATGGCTGTTTTCATTGTCTATTTGTATTATATTCTTTAACTAGAAGATCTAATGTAAAGACTTTTTGATTTCTTCATATTGCTGAAGAATCATATTGAAAAGTATTTTTGAAGCAAAGTGATTTCTTCATATTTTTGAGACATATTTGGAGAAAATGATAAAAGATTAAGTGTGTGCACAGTGAGAATGTCGGGTATTCAAGAGTGAATTTTAAAGTCACTCTTATTAGCTGTTACTTTATGATGAACCATTAGCTAAAAATCATTTTAGTGTAATGTAAAAAAAAAATTCCCAAATACAGTTTTTATAATACTTAGTTGTTATTCTCTTGCCCATAAAATACATTTTTAAGTGGTGTGTCTAGTTTGGTGGATATATTCTACTTGTAAGCAATAAATGCTTAATTGTTTTAAAGATAACTCTATTTCTAAATTCTTTAAATTCTAAACTGTTACTTGATTTGTTAAATGAATGACACTGTGTTAAAATAAAACACTAATAAAATACTGGAATTACTTCATTGACCTCTCTCTCCCTTCATGCTACATGCAGTTGTGATTTCTAAGGATGTGTTTAGCTTTGTACTCTAGTAGATTTCTGTCTTATTTTCAATCCAAAAATAGGCACAACAAAGGATTCTTGCTTTGCCCTGTGCTTGTAAATGACTGGCAAAACTAGTATGTCTTTTGAAAGCAATTCCTACTATTATAACAAGCTGGAATAAAAATGGCCAATCAGTAATAATCCAACCCTTATTAACTTGCACTAAATTATTTTCATTTGGCAGATAAAATAACCACTTTTCCAGTCTTAATTAGAGTTTCGTCTAATAGGATTGACAAGGCAAGCTGGGCAAAAAAATGCTGTATTTAATTGCTTTTAGAATTCAGTCTTTTTTAGTACATTAAATCTTGGGAAAAATCCAGAGAAATTTTAAGAGCCCACATTTTGTTTTCTGGGTTACTCTTACCCTTACAAATCAAGAACAACTCTAGTTAATGGATGTTTTAAAGTTTTGCTGTTATGTATTGGTATCTATGCCCTTGAAGAACTAATAATACTTTTATTAGAAAGTGATAGTTTACTTTTTAAGTCACTTATATTTTTTTCTCTATTACATGACTATATGTTATCCTATCCTTTGAGGCTGTGTCTTATGGTAAAAGATACACAGAATTGCCACTTATAGAGAAGAGAGGTAACATGGTTTAAAAAAAATAGGCATTAGAGTCACAAGAACTCAAGTTCAAATCTGAACTTTGCTGCCTACAGCCCGGGGGACCTTGGGAAGGTTATTAACCTGTTTGGATCTCTGAGATGATGTGAAGAATTCAGGTATAAAATGTTTCCAGTAAAGAACCTGAGCCATATGATATGTTCTGGAAATTTTGCCTGCTATTACTATTACTAATCTACTCTCAATATGACAATACATTTTAAAATGCACCCCCATTTGCAGACCCCGTGTCCTCTTATTTCATTTCCCCCAGATCAGAAGACTGGCTGGCATTGGGAAAGAGTGGATTAAAAGCAGTCATGAAACTAGAGTTTTAAATTAAGTTCAATATAATTTTTAATAACTGAAGGTGACTGGGAAACTATGGGATTTGCTGAAGATGTCACTAAGGAATGGGAAAGTGGGACAAAGTGTAGATGAAGTCAGTGATTAGACAAAAAAAAAAGTAGTTCAAGTTAGAAAAGAAAGTGAAGGGAAAGAAGTAGGAAGGAAAAGACCTTGATCTGTTCTCCCTTTTCTAGAAAAATATTAGAACACTCCCCAACAGAATGAACAGATCAAATCATAACCAAAAGATTCATGGTGATATATTTAGCTGTAATAATTTGAATCAAGAATTATAATGACTTACAAATGCTGCAAGCTGTAACTTGTGTGTAACTTCCATTTAGTAAATTTTTTATGCTTTTGTTAAAAATCAAATGTTATACTTCTTTAATTTATATCACAACTGAAGCCTATTCAGTCACCCAGGGGGTAGAAATTCAAAGATACAGCTTTCTCTTCTCATTTCTTTCATACCTGCTGTATGTAAATTATAATACAAGAGTTTTTATTCCAGAAATTACAATAGTGTCTAATGCATACTAGGTGCTCAGTAGTTTTTTGGTTGCATGAATGATAACTTAATTAATCTGAAACTCTTCCCTTAGTGCTCTAATTCTAAGATTTTATTAGATTAAATTCAAATAAACTATTTTCATCTCATCTGTACAAATTCATTTGTAAAACACTCTCAGCTGTAAAACAAGCACTTGCAAAAGTATCTTTCAATCCTTCCACTTATTTGAATTATTTTTTAAGGATTTGAGTTATTGGATCTTAGCTAAAAAACAGAAAACTAGAAAGGTCTAAAAATAAAGTATTTATTATATGTAGTAAAAAAGTATGCAATTCAAAAACACTAACTTGATTCATTAAAATTCATTAATTATTTTTAATTATACAAATAATACATATTGATTGCCAAAAATAACAGTGACCAAGGTATATAAAAAAAGAAGAAAAAATCAGTCAACAGGCATTATATGCATATATAAACACATATGAAAGCATAAGAGTATTAAAATTCAAATAGTGAATTGTGTCCCTATATTCTATTGCTTATTCTTTCTGCCTATTTTGCCAACTTGCTAAAGATTTCTTTTTCTTTTCTTTCTCAATGGTACACACTTAAAAATTTACAAATTAATAGGGTTTTAAAAGTATATTGGCTGGGCTCAGTGGCTCATGCCTGTAATCCCAGTACTTTGGGAGGCCAAGGCAGGTGGATCACCTGAG